>NC_000012.12:39581340-39732855 GCF_000001405.40 Homo sapiens
GAGACTTTCCCGATTTCCCAGTGACACCTGAAATCTCACTCTCCAGAGGAAATCACTGTTCATTTTCTTGGGTAAACTTCCAGAAATTGTCATTTTTTAAGTAAGAAAATACACATAGGAAATAGACAAATCCTTAAAATTTTATGTTAGGAAAAATAATCTTAAAATACCATCTGATTTAGAGTTCTTGCTTCTAGGGAAAACTGTTGAAATAAAACTTTCCCTGTGATTGAATTTCATAGTATTTATGAAATGTAAGTGATGATTTGAGAAATAGACTTGGATTACTATGCAGTGGAGAAATATTCTGGGCTTAACTTTTTTTTCCCCTGCCCCCTGAAAACATGGCACAAGAGAAAAGTATTTGGGTCAAAGGACACTTTAACTTTTACATATTTTAATAAATCACGTTCTTTGTTCTACTAAACCCAAAGGTTTTTGTAGGCAGGCAATATTGCATGATCACGGAACACATAAATCAAAACTCTGAGTCATAATGTTGCCTCTGACCCTGATTTAGTGAGACAAAGTCAGCAAAGAAGAGAATGATTTTCCTGCTTCCTAGAGATGTATACTCTTCTTTAGTTCGTGTCCATTTGTTAACCCTTTTATGCTTTCCTGTTTTGTAACCTAGTTGATGGAATGGAATGTAGTTTTTAATTCCATTTTTATTATACCAACCAAAGGATTAGCTAGTCTAAACAGAACTTCAGTAGGCTTCTTTCAAATTAAATAATGCACTTGCAAATTTAAGTGTTTTCCTGCCTTGCTTAAATATTTCAGGTTTAAGAATTAAGCAAGTAAAACAGGTTTCCCTGAAGTTTTTTTTTATGTGCAAGGATATAATAGTTTTTATTATTGTTTAAAAAGCCAGGAGTTACCATAGTATAGTGGCATACCCTCGCATAGAACACTGACTTTCAAGTCAGAACTGTGCTTGAATCCCTGTCCCACAACTTGCCATGGGACTCTGAGTAAGTTACTAAATTTCTGAAATTAATCTTTAAGATGAAGATAGTAAAACCTACATCATTGGACTATTATGGATATTAAATAATGATATATGTAAATTCCACATAGTAAGCACTCAATAGCCCATAACAATTACGATTACATTTTTAAGTTTGGAAAATTCTTGGAAAGAGTTCTAGACCTTCCTGATGACTTCCAAAAGAATAGAATATTTCATGTTTATTCTAAATTTCTATTTGGATCATTAGATTTCAAACGTCCTCAAAATAACTTGCCCAAGATAAACATGTAGCATTTATTCTACCACAGCCTTCTGAAACTCCAAGGAGTTGACCACATGAAACAAAAAATCAATCTGCTTTCCATATATAGTAGGAATTACAAATACCAAAAAATAAAAGTATTTTTCTTGCCTGCCTTATTTGTTTATTGTAAGGATCAAATGAAATAATGTATGTGATATTGTTATATAAAACTTCAAGCATTATCACACAAAGACAAAGTACAGTATCAATATTACAACTACTAATATTACCATTAGCTACTAATTTTTTTTTTTTTTTTTAGACAGGGTCTCACTCTTGTTGCCTAGGCTGGAGTGCAGTGATGCAATCACAGCTCACTCCAACCTTGACTTTGCGGGCTCAGGTGATTCTCCCACCTCAGCCTCCCAAATAGCTGAGACTACAGGGGTGTGCCACCATTCCCGGATAATTTTTGTATGTTTTGTAGGGAAGTGGTTTCACCATGTTGCCCAGGCTGGTTTCAACCTCCTAGATTCAAGCTATTTACCCTCCTCGGCCTCCCAAAGTGCTGGGATTACAGGTGTGAGCTGCCGGACGGGGCCAGCTACTAATTCTTGTGTACTCATATGCCACTGTGCTAATGTTTTACATACAGTCTTATTTAATCTTCACAAAAAACTTATAAGGTAGATATTTATCCTCATTTTACAGTTGAAGATACAGAGAACAGGGCTAATCAAGATTTAATTCCAGAACTCTGAGTTAAAAGTCCATATTCTCAATCACTGTACTACTTACTCTACTTCTAATAATGTAAGTGGGCTGTAAAATAGAACATAAAATACATTTAAAATTAAACTTGGTGTCTCATTTGTTATTTCAGTCATTTTTCTAAACTATCAAATTATATGAATTATTGAATTATTTGAAAGTGTGAATATAATTTTTTGTTTTATTTTATTTTATTTTTTAACTTTCAGGCTTGGGGGCACATGTGAAGTTTTCTTACATAGGTAAACACGTTTCATGGGGATTTGTTGTACATATTATTTCATCATCCAGGTATTAAGCCCAGTACCCAATAATTTTCTTTTCTGCTCCTCTCCCTCCTCCTACCCTCCAATCCTCAAGTAGACCTGAGTCTCTGTTGTTTTCTTCTTTGTGCTTGTAAGTTCTTATCATTTAGCCCTATTTAAAAGTGAGAACATACAGTAAGTATATGGTTTTCTGTTCCTGCATTAGTTTGCTAAGGATGATTGCCTCCAGCTCCATTCATGTTCCCACAAAATATATGATCTCATTCTTTTTTTCTAGCTGCATAATATTCCATGGTGGACCTCTACCACACTTTCTTTATCTAATCTGTCATTGATGGGCATTTACATTGATTCCATGTTTTTGCTATTGTGTATAGTGCTGTGATGAACATTTGTGTGCATATGTCTTTGTGGTAGATGATTTTATATTCCTCTGAGTATAAACCCAGTAATGAGATTGTTGGGTGAAATGGTAGTTCTGTTTTTAGCTCTTTGAGGAATTGCCACACTGTGGTTGAACTGATTTACACTCCCACCAACAGTGTATAAGTGTTCTCTTTTTCCCACAACCTTCTCAACATCTTGTTATTTTTTGACTTTTTATTAATAGTCATTTTGACTGGTGTGAGATGGTACCTCATTGTGGTTTTGATGTGCATTTCTCTAGTGATCAGTGATATTGAGCTTTTTTCATATGCTTGTTGGCTGCATGTATGTCTTCTTTTGAGAAGTGTCTGTTCATGTCCTTTTCCCACTTTGTAATGGTGTTGTTTGTTTTTCCCTTGTAAATTTGTTTAAGTACCTTATAGATGCTAGATATTAGACTTTTGTCAGATGCATAATTTGCAAATACTTTCTCCCATTGTGTAGGTTGTCTGTTTACTCTGTTGATAGTTTCTTTTGCTGTGCAGAAGCTCTTAAATTTAATTAGATCTCACTTGTCAATTTTTGCTTTCATTGTGATTGCTTTTGGTATCTTTGTCATGAAGTCTTTGTCTGTTTCCATGTCCAGGATAGTTTTGCCTAGGTTGTCTTCCAGGGTTTTTATAGTTTGGGGTTTTACATTTAAGTCTCTAATCCATCTTGTGTTGATTTTTGTATATGGTATAAAGAAGGGGTCCAGCTTCAGTCTTCTGCATATGGCCAGCCAGTTATCACAGCACCATTTATTGAATAGGGAGTCTTTTCCCCATTGCTTGTTTTTGTCAGCTTTGTTGAAGATTAGATGGTTGTAGATGTGCGGCCTTATTTCTGTGCTCTCCATTCTGTTTCATTGGTCTCTGTGCCTGTTTTTGTAACAGCACTATGCTGTTTTGGTTACTGTAGACTTGTAGTATAGTTTGAAGTGGGGCAGCATGATGCCTCCAGCTTTGTTCCTTTTGCTTAGGATTACCTTGGCTATTCAGGCTCTTTCTTGGTTCCAAACAAATTTTAAAATAGTTTTTTTCCTAGTTCTGTGAAGAATGTCATTGGTAGTTTGATAGGAATAGCATTGAATATGTAAATTGCTTTGGGCAACATAGCCATTTTAATGATATTGATTCTTCCTATCCATGAACATGGGATGGTTTTCCATTTGTGTCTTCTCTGATTTCTTTGAGCAGTGTTTTGTAATTCCCATTGTAGAGATCTTTCACCTTCCTGGTTAGCTGTATTCCTAGGTATTTCATTCTTTTTGTGGCAATTGTGAAGGGGATTGCCTTCCTGATTTGGCTGTTCGCTTGGCTGTTGTTGGTGTATAGCAAAGTTAGTGATTTTTGTATGTTGATTTTGTACACTGCAACTTTGCTGAAGTTGTTTATCAGCTGAAGGAGCTTTGAGCTGAGACTATGGGGTTTTCTAGATATAGAATCATGTGTCTGCAAGCAGGGATAGTTTGACTTCCTCTCTTCCTATGTGAATGCCCTTTATTTCTTTCTCTTGCCTGGCTTATCTAGTTAAAGTGTGATTATTATTATTAAATTATTTGAAAGTATCACTAAACACAGAAAGAGTATTATTAGACAATAATTCTATTTTAAGCTTATATGTACAAATGTTATTTATACTCTTTCAAAAATGTTTTATGCTGAAAAACCACAATACAGAAGTTTCTAACTTTAATTACCTGTGTGCTGCTTGAGAGCAAAAAAAGATACTGGTCAGATTGTGGGTCTGAAAACAAAAAAAGTTCTGTGGTATCTACTTCTCAAATTATTTAATTTAATGTGAGCTGAGAGCTTGTAAGGCAAATATGTCTGTCATAGACTTTACATACATCTAGACTGACAATGGCCTCAGGGACTTTGTACATTCGAATATAAAAGAAAAAAACTGTTTTTAAATGTTAGCTGCACTGACATGGAGACTTAATAAAAACTTAGTGTGTTGCATTAAACACAACACAAGCAGAAAAAGAAATGTAAATAATGGAACAGCAATAAAACTCCATCTTTACACTTATGTGCTTATTTCCGATTATAGCATACATTCAAATTAAACCACAGACTAAATATATACCCAAGCTTACTTTTTAAAAGTGAAGTTAAATGCATTAGAAAAGAATGATAGACTTTACCTCCTTCTCTTTGAACTATGTGATAGAGATGGACATTGTGTAGGATACGTTCCAGATCTTGGTCTGTATAACCTTTATCATGCATATCATCCACTGAATCAGGGTAAATGACTTGATCCCGAAGACTTCCAAGAGACATATATGGCCTTTAAAACACCAAGCACACAAGAATCCTAGTGGAAAGTCATGATAACTTACTCAGTGTGACAACTTGGTAGTCTGAAAACATCAGTGAAGACTTTAAACACTACATTTCCAGGATGATATTTGTTACCTGGCGATGAGTACTTCTCCCTCAGGCACTGCTAAACAATACCGTTATGTTTACATAAAAACTTACTGACACATGGACACAAGAAAAGCTTCTCCAAGAAATCATCTGACATTTTCTTTTTCTAAAAAATTCTATTTTATTTTATATTTTGTAGAGACAGGGTCTTGATATGTTTTCCCAGGCTAGTCTCAAACACCTGCCTCAAGTGATTCCTCCTAACTTGGCCTCCCAAAGCACTGGGATTACAGTTGTGAGCCATAGAACCCAGCCACATTTAACATTTTCAGCAGGGAAATATTGTATATACTTTGTTTCACTGTATTTGATAAAGATTGCTTCTGTAATTCATCTATAATTATTTGGGTGACATATTATACAATTTGGGTTTCGACCCAGCAATGTGAACAAACAAAACAAAAAAATTTAATTCATAGTAAGAAAAACACAAATTAAAACTACATTGAGTTTCTTACTAATCAGATTGGCAAAAATTCAACAACTTGGTAACTCACTCCACTGGCAGGCCTATGGGTAAGGGAATGTTCTCACACTACAGTGAAAATGCAGAATGGTACAACTCTTACAGAGGGGATTTGGCAAACTGACAGAGCATTTGTTGCCCTTTGACCTCCTTCTGGGAATTCACTCTGAAAATATACTTCTAAAAATACAAAAAAAGATGCATGAGGTTATTCATTACAGCTTATTTGTAATAGCAAAATACTGAAATACAACATAAATACCCATACAAAGAAGACAGACAGAATAAACTATAGTACATCCGCTAAGCAGCTGTAATAAAAGGATGAGGAAGACCTCTATAAACTGATATAGAGTGATTTCCATGATATATTGTTAAGTTGAAAAGCAAAATGCAAAAGTAGACTTACAGCAGGGTTTCTCAACAACGGCACTTTGGCTTATTGAACCAGATAATTCTTTATTGTCGAGGGCTACCCTGTGTACAGTAGGATGTTTAGCATTATGCCTGATGTCTACCCACTAGATGTCAGCAGCACCCCTTCCTGTAGTGAACAAAAATAATTGTCTCCAGATAATGCCAAATGTCCCTGGGGGACAAAATCTTCCCGGTTGAGAACCACTTCTATGTAAAAAGAAAGCAAAATGAAATATAGACATACCCATTTATATTTAAAAAAGGAAACACAGGAAGAGTAAACCTGAAACTAGTGAAGTTGGTTAGCTACAGGAGGTGGGAGGAACAAGGTGGAATGGATAGGCAGGAAAAGGCCTACGTATCCTTTCTATTAATAAAGTTTTTACTTTTGGAATCCCTCAAAGTGTTACTATTCAATAAATAAATAAAATTAAACCAACAAGAACGAAGGAAGAAACCTTAAAATTGAATACAAATAGAAACAATTTAACTGAACAGTATGTCCAAAGGATAAAGTAACCACACAGCGAAGGGGATGGAGGTGGGGATGAATTAATCCATGTAATTTTTGAACTTGGCTATATAATTTCAGTCAAAGACAGAAAGAATCAGGCGGAAATTTTAAACTTTACTTGCAAGTTTATTTTTGCTAATGATATAGGGGTAGCAATTCTGAAACTATTTTATGTATATTGTAGGATTGGTTACGTAAGTAAATGGTTTGGTAATGTTAGGAGCAAGGGTTCTCACTGTGGAAGAAGAAAGATACAAACATGCTGTGTGGGAAGGCAAGAGAAAAACTAATTTTAATTTGAGTATCAGTATGAATTTATGTTTTTTAATAAAAAAATTTCTAGCCCTATCTACATCTGGAACAGTCTAATATTATCCTTTGAGAAGCACACAGCATCATTTCAGTAATGCAATAAATTCAATTGTGGACCCAAAAAGATCCATCTTAATCCAGACCCCCCCATATCTGTAAATGAAACCTTATTTAGGAACAGAGTCTTTGCAGATTTAATTAAGGTTCTTGAGACGAGATCATCCTGGATTAACCAGATGAGTCCTAAATCCAATAAATGCTCTTATCAAATGAGAAGAAACACAGGAAAGAAAAGAAAGCCACGTGAAGAAGGAGACAGAGATGGGAGTTACTGCCGCCACAAACGAAGGAATGCTTGGCACCACCAGAAGCTGGAAAAGAGGCAGGAAATAATTCTCCCCAAGAGCCTTCAGAGGGCGTGGATTGCCAATACTTTGACTTCGGGTGTTCAGGAATGCGAGAAAATAAATTTCTGTTGTTCAAACCGCCAAGTGTTTGGTAATTTGTAGCCCTTAGAAACTAATACAAGTAGTATTTCTGTAAAAAGTTTATAACCTGAATCACATCACGGAGAAACTATCAGACAAACCCAAATTGAGGTGTTCTCTTAAAAAAAAAAAGCAATAGTCTGGCATTCTTTAAAAATATCAATGTCATATAAAATAAAGAAATGCTGAGAAACTCTTTCGAATAAAAGAAACTATAATAAATAGACATGGCAACTAAGTGCAGTGCATGACAATGGATTGGGAAAAACAAGTTGCTCTATAAAGTACAGTGTTATGACAATTGCTGAAATTTAAATATGGACTGTATTTTAGATACTAATATATAAATGTCAGATTTCCTGAATTTGATAAGTATACTGTAGTTACCTAAGAGAATATCCCTGTTCTTTGAAAATATACCCTAAATTAATTAGGGGTAAAGGTGTATGATTACTGCAACTTGATTAAAAAATACAAGGTGTATATTGTGTGTGTATGCCTGGAGAGAGAAAGAAAGAGAAGGAGAGGTTTTCAAATACAAAATGTGTTTTGTGGATGAATTATCTACCTATTTTCCCATGGTACACAAGCCATTAGGTTGAAGGATAGACAGCACAAGCTTATTTTATAATATATTTAATTATTATTTGAATTCAAAATGTTTATATTTTACTTGTACATGTGTATGTTCATATAAGAAGACTTTGCAATGAAATTATTACAAATATAAGGAAGCTTTGGTCTGGGTTTTTTTTTTTTTTTTTTTTGAGACGGAGTCTCGCTTTGTCGCCCAGGCTGGAGTGCAGTGGCGCCATCTCGGTGGCTCACTGCAAGCTCCGCCTCCCGGGTTCTCGCTGTTCTCTTGTCAGCCTCCCAAGTAGCTGGGACTACAGGCGTCTGTCACCACGCCTGGCTAATTTTTTGTATTTTTAGTAGAGACGGGGTTTTACCGTGTTAGCCAGGATGGTCTTGATCTCCTGACCTCGTGTTCCGCCCACCTCGGCCTCCCAAAGTGCTGGGATTACAGGTGTGAGCCACCGCACCCAGCCCTATCTGAGCTATTGTTATTTAAATGATGTAACGATGTATAAAAATTGCTCACTTTGAAAACTGATGTGAATGAGAATGTTGATGAATATGTATAAAAGTATTCATAAGCTTATATATTTATTGAGGACTAATCAAATATTGTTTTATTAAAGTTCAATTTTTTGTCAATTATTGTTTTATGATCATGTGAAATGGTAAAAATAATACATTCTATATATGTTTGATGTACATAGCAACTAAAGCCGCTTAGGTTTTTATTAAAATAATGATTTTAAAATATTATTATAATGTTAAAGCCACCACTGAATTCTCTGGAAAGACTGTGTCAAGAAAATTCGGGATGACATTTACTCAATTTGAAAGCACAAGGAAACGGAGGACCCTATAGCCAATGTTTATATAATTAGTTTGCATGTGATTCTCTTTCCAGCTCAAAGTTCTGGAATTTAACATTTTGAGTCAGTTCAAGTTTCTGTAGTCCTACCAAAGTTATACATAATAGATAAGCACTCAAAGTACCCTTTACTAAACTTTCCTTTCTAGATATATAGACCTATTCAGATAATCTTCTAAATATTTCAGGTAGATCAATTACCATGTTAGAATGTTACTGGCTCACTTGCTCTGGCTCATTACAAAGGAGATCATGCAACATATCTAACATAAGCAACAAAAGAAATGGTCAGATTGCTCCTCATTAGTAGCTATCAAAAAAGAAATATTAACTAGTTTTAATTTACTTTCTATAAGTAAAACCCAGAATCATCTCTATATGTTATGGAAAAGATAGCAAAATAAATCCATAGGTGTCACATGTGGATCATTTAACAAATAATCCTTATTTAAACAATTATAATAATTATAATAATTGTTTTTTCTTGGGAATCTACAATTCTTTCAAATGTATATATAGTTAAAATTCAATTATAATAGTAAAATTATTTGAGATAAAATTCATTCCCCATGATTATGGCTTTTTATAGTTTTGTTACTAATGTCTCAAGGTGCTTTTATACTTTGCATTATATTCCCACTTTTCTGCATTAACATCTAAGTAATCTGACAGTGATTTTTTTTTTTTGGTAAAATGTATTGATGTTTGTTAGAGTTACTTTTTTATTATTCTCTAAGACAAAGCTAGAAAGAATGGGAAAGCACTGAGAAGTGTTAGCTGTATCTATGTGCTTGGAGCTTCTGAATGACACAAAATTCTAAATATTTCCTAAATTGAGAGCAAAAAACCAATTCAAATCCAGAGGAGAAAAAAAAGTGTGACATGAAAGGCCTATATGCAGAGAAAACAAATTTTTAAAGTAATCATATAAAATTTAATTGGAACAATATTGATAAAAATTTTGCAGCAATGTTAACTGTATTTAAGGCATGAGATGTGTTAAGTTTAAGAATAATGTACCACTAAGTACTGCTGTGTTGTCGTAGCAAAAGAAGTTAACAATCTGAAAGGCATAAAATTTAACTATCAATAATTCACATAACTATACATGCTGGAACCAATCATTGCATCAGGGTTTTTCATGCATAGAAAGAACTAGATTTGAGTCATTTATAGTATTCTTAAAAAATGTGTGATAATAAGAAGAAATATTCAAGTGAAAATAGATATTTACTATTACTGAAATTATATCTTTTGGATAAGATATTTCTAGATTCCAAAACAGAGATGAGAATAGCCTCTTAAGAGCAGGGATGAGGTTTATTTCCAAGTAATAAAAATAATATTAGGCCAGGTGCAGTGGCTCGCATCTGTAATCCCCGTAATTTGGGAGGCCAAGCTGGGTGAATCACCTGAGGTCAGAAGTTTGAGACCAGCCTGCTCAACATGGTGAAACCCCATCTCTACTAAAAATGCAAAAATTAGCCAGGTGTGGTGGCACACACCTGTAATCCCAGCTACTTGGGAGGCTGAGGCACAAGAATCTCTTGAACCCTGGAGACAGAGGTTGCAGTGAGCCAAGATTGTGTCACTGAACTCCAGCCTGGGCAATAGAGTGAGACACTGTCTCAATAAGTAAATAAATAAATATATTATTAGTGGAAGAATTAAAGTATTGCTAAGCTGTTAAAAATGCAAATTTCTGTAAAAGTCAACTTTAAGAGTATTTATCATTATATCAGATTACCATTTAAATTGCTGATATTTGACCTATAAAAATTGCAGTTCCATATGGTTTAATGTAATAGTACTCATAAAATGAGAAAAACTTTTGAGTGAGAGGGGAGTTTTTTCATTATTACTTTTATAAATGAGCCCTTAGAAAAGTTAAAGATTTTAAAAAGTATCTTTAGCATTCTTCCAAGCCATAGAAAGCTATAGAAAATTGTGTTTACATTTATAGATCTCTTTAAAAGAGATTTAAAAAAACTGAACTGTACCAACTACTACACAGGAGGAACTAAAATGTACAACTTCTATTTCTGTCAACTGACTGCCCAAAGGTATTTATACAAAGATTACTTGGCTGTAAGTCTAACAGTCAGAAAGCAAGGAATAGAAGTCAATTTGCTACAGCAATGCTACTAAGCCTTCCTTGTGGTTAAAATAATTTTCTAAAAAAGGACATGTTAAATGACAGATATTTATCCCCATCATAAAGAGAATTTTGCAACATACCTACTGCAAGCAGCAAAATAAATAGATTGCTCATAATTAGTGTAAGGTACCAGATTGACTTGGCAGTAGAAACCAAATCTGTGGAGATGTTCATTCATTCAGTCAATCACTTATCAGATATTTATTGCACAATTACAATATATTTACTAGGATCCTACCAGTGCTGTACAGAGACATGTGGTTGCCTTTTCTAGCTTTTAATCTATAAAAGTTTGTTCAACAGTGACTCAACAAGGGCAAAGTCTGTTCCAGTACAACCCCTACTCCCAAAGCCATATTTCTTTGCTTTGAGGGCAGCAGGACAATAGATATGTAACCTACATACACATTGGCACAGTACATAGGTATAGAGTTCTGTGAGGAGCTCTGGATTAAGCCACATCACATTCCTCCTTTATTCCAGTGGCTTTTATAGACCCATATTCCACTCAGGCAGTGGCCTGCTAGTCTGCCTCTTTCTTAAATAAACACACTCCTTGTCCTCAAGAGGTGCACCCTGTTTGCCTTTTGGCAGCTAGATATTCATTAAGAATTGACAGGTCCAAAAGCTAGAGACCTATAGGAAAATTGAGATTAAGATATTTAAAACAGCATACCCCAGATTCTTGCTTAGATCCTTTTCCAGACCACATCCTCATTTTTAAAATCTGAGATCTTGGATAAAAAGAAAAAAAGCAAGGATCTCACTGAGAATACTTTAACAGCACCCTTTCTGTCCTCCATAGAGAAAAGAGGCAAATCAGTTCTTCTGACCTGATCTCATATGCTTTCTAGTTAATAGCCATCATCTGGTTTTATATGTGTGGGTTAAACAATGTTGATATATAACACAGAGTTCCCTGATCCCTACAAAGAAGAAATCTTAGATTTGGAAGTCATTCATATAGAAACAATAGAAAATGGAACTTCACAGCTTTTATTTTTTTGTTTTATTTTTATTTTTATTCTTTTGAGATAGCATCTCACTCTGTTGCCCAGGCCAGAGTGCAGTGGTGCAATCATGGCTCACTGCAGCCTCAACTTCCCAGACTCAAGCAGCCCTCCCACCTCAGCCTCTTAAGTAGCTGGGACTACAGGCAAGTACCACCATATCCAGCTACTTTTTTATTATTTGTATTGACGGGGTCCCCCTATGTTGCCAGGGCTAACCTTAAATTCCTGGCCTCAAGTGATTATCCAACCTCAGCCTCCTAAAGTGCTGGGATTACAGTCATGAGCCACCAGGCCCAGCCCAGAACTTCATATTTTAAAATATCCATAAAGCTTATTTGGTGCAAGTACTTCTTAGTGCACAGGGCAGTTGTGCCAATGTTGGTATTATCGTCCTTCAAGCCCTTTCTGCAGAACTTCTGAAATAAAACACCGTCTTCACTGTTGCAAGCGACAATCTCTTCTTTTGATGACATAAAGGGTAAGTCATGATCTTTTTAAGCCATAATGCATCCTGAAAATTAAGGTTTGCTTGTTTTATATCTCAACAAGAATTCTGATTTAAAATTAAGGGACTATTTTTGAAAAATTCTTTAAAATTTTATGGAGAAATGAATTTTAGAAGAATAGGAAAGAGTAGAGAATAAAATTTAATTTGAAAATGAATTGAACACCAATAAATTTTTTAAAATTTCACTTTCATATGAGAATATAGCTTCCTTCACCTTAACATATCTGAATGATGGCCAAGTACCTATGCTAAAATGTATGTTAAAATTGACTTAATTGCCATGTACATCGAGGATTATGAGGACCTCTGCCTCCAAACCACAGCTTGATATTAGTACAGATCAGCACACCAAGAAAACAACCTTAGCTGGTGATACTTGCAAGGTCAGGATAAAGGGTAGTAATTTTTCATACACATGCCCCTGTTGATACCAATAAGGCAAAATGACTTTAGGGTAAGGCACATCTGAGTTCAAATTCTAGCTCCAGCATTTATCCACTGGAGGACTTAAACCTCTTTAAGTTTTCTCACAAAATAGGGATACTAATACCAACTTTATAGGTTGTCATACAGAAAAATAAGAAACTTATATATGTAGAATTGTGACTAGCACACACTAATTGTTTGACATATTGTTAATTACAAAAAATAACAATACCCTAGAGATGCTCAATCCTGGTTCAGGATGCCTAGGACCCAACAGTTATCTCAAGAGGTCACAACATTCTCAGGATAAAATCAATTTTAATGCATATAATTTTTTAAAACACACACACTATATCATTAAAAGGAAGAAGTGGAAATGCCATCAAAGAAAATATAGATATCAATTAAAGATACCAAAGAAAACATAAATATACTAGTACTTGTAAAGGCTGAGATTTCATGTCTTAAGCTCTTCTTCCTTAGAAAAACAGTTGAAGAATACAATGGCCAGGTAGAGTGGCTCACGTGTTTAATCCCAGCACTTTGGGAGGCCAAGGCGGGTGGATCACTTGAGGCCAGGAGTTCGAGACCGGCCTGGCCAACGTGATGAAACCCCAACTCTACTAAAAATACAAAAATTCTCTGGGTTTCGTGGTGGGCGCCTGTAATCCCAGTTACTTGGGAAGCTGAGGTGCGATAATCACTTGAGGCCAGGAGTTCAAGATTAGCCCTGGCAAGGTAGGAAAACCCTGTCAATACAAATAATAAAAAATTAGCCGTGCATGGTGGTACCATGGTGAACCCAGGAGGCAGAGGCTGCAGTGAGCCAAGATTGTGCCACTGCACTCCAGCCTGGGTGACAGAGTGACACTCTGTTTCAAAAAAAGAAAAAGAAAAAAGAAGATAGCTGAAGATACAGATATTTTTGAAAAGTGAAGACAAATTATAAAGAATGATATTTTGTTATTCCTCAGAAAGTTGGGAAAGTAATACAGACTGTGTTATGATTATCTGAGAAAATATTTAAGATCAAAAACAGTAGGATTTTTTTCATCTTAAGATGCTTAAATGTGATAATCTTATTAATCTGAAAATGAGAGGCAGTGAGTACAGAAGATTTGTATTCAAAGACTTGGTATAGTCTAACTCTGGCTTTGAAATTCCATATAACGCTAAGTAAAGTATGTAGTCCCTTTGAAATTCAATTTAATTACTTAAAAATACTCTATTTAGCATAACTTATACAGAACATAATTAATATGTATTATTCATGCATAACAAGATAGAAATAAAGTTATTATCTATATTTAATTTCCTGTACAATCTAATTAGTGATGTTTACCATTCCTGCTTACAATCAAATTTAAGACTTTTATGTTGCATTTAATTTTAAAATGTGATTCATAACTTTATTTATCAAGTAGTATTTATATTTAATCTAGGAGATTAAGTAACATGGTAC
This sequence comes from Homo sapiens, assembly GCF_000001405.40. Classification (NCBI taxonomy): domain Eukaryota; kingdom Metazoa; phylum Chordata; class Mammalia; order Primates; family Hominidae; genus Homo; species Homo sapiens. Next base: position 39,595,649 of record NC_000012.12, read on the forward strand.
TTGTGCACACAACCCTGTGAATGAAGTAGTAGTTACTAGTTAGAAATAAACAAATATTGAGCTGATAAGTAAAATGTTACTCATAATTTCAGAATATCTTCTGAAAACAGGAAACAAAAAATAATGAGTGTTGTGGAAGCAAGCTACCGTCATCTTTTATTATGCTTTTTGAGAAGTAATTTAGCACATAAAATTGTGTCACTTACTTATAGAGAGCAGGTTGAGCTCCTTAGCTAGAGACTGGGAAAATGGCAAACATCCAAATTACTAAAAAACCTTAAAAAATTAAATCAAAGAACTTCAGCTAAAAGAAACAGTGCAGCAAACGAGTAAGGACTGAGAGGATGAGCACTATCATTTCCAGTATGTACTGATGACTTCTTATTAGTGGGGATGAGTCTAAGAAATGCTTTCTTTTCTCAGCATCGTGTGTTAGAGGAGAGTAGGAAAGAACATTATGCTATCCAGAAGTGTCCAAAAAACAAAAACTTCTGCTTACTTGAATCTGTGGTATTTCTTACCTATTTAGAAATTGGAGAAACTGATGCAATCCATGGCAACTGTTCAAATCCTGAATTACTTTCAAAACTCAGGTCAAATGACACACTGTTCTATTTTTTCCTCATTTTGAACATCCATAGCATTTCTTGCCTTTCTTGAGGCACTTATTTCTGGTTTTTATTTCCATTAGTTGAATGTTTTTATTTATAACTAAATGATACATAAACATCATAAGATTATATGCTAATTATTGTCTATCCTAAAAAGACTAAATGAAAAAAAAATTGTTATCTCTCTGACATGAAACACAATACTCCAGCTATTTCTCCCTTTTTTTCTTTTTCTTTCTTTAAAAAAAGTATTTGATCAGATTTAATTCTATACTTATATATAATCCTTCTTTCACTTTCTGAACCTTTTGTTTCTCAGACTCCAAAGTCATGGGTGGGCAGAAGTTTATACAAGTTACCTTTTTGTACACCATTGTGGGAAGCCTGAATCTATTTCAGATCTTGTGGGCCTTAGTATTTGGGCCTGCATAGTAAGTTTGAATAGTAAGAAAATTACGATTAAAATTTCTTTTTCAAGATATTTCTGCCAAGGAAGCGTAGGTAGTAAGAGCATACGTGTTAGAATTACATGATGGGTTGGTGCCCAGGGTGGAACTGGTTCCAGGACCCCAGAAAACACCAAAATCCACAGATGCCTTTATATAAAATGGCCACAGTATTTGCATATCACCAACACACATCCCCCTATATACTTTAAATCATCTTTAGATTACTTGTAATACCTAACACAATACAAATACTATGCATTGGTTTTTTGTTTGTATGATTTTTTATGGTTATGTTGTTGTTTTCAGTGTTTATTTTAAAAATATTTTTTATTCATGGTGGGTTGAATCCAAGGTTGTGGAAGCTGCAGATACAGAGGCCCAACTGTAATGTGATGTATGCAAATGATCTTCTGGAGTATTATTTTTAAAAACTAGTACAAAAGAAAGCAAGATTTTACTCTGAGCAAAATATATTTTGTCAGCAAATATCTATTATCATCTGTCTTTCTTCCTTCTGTCCCTTCCTCTGTTGCTTCTCTCCCACTCTCTCTCTACCCCCAACTCCCACTAAATATTCCAATTTATTATTTTGATGATTGTTAGCATACTATAAAATTTTGTTAGCAGGTGAACAAAATAAACAAGTAAAAGGGTGGGTTTAGGGGCTTTCATGGATGAAGACAGAAACTTACCAGGGGATTAGGAAGTAACAAATAGGCCATAAATTAGTGGATTTGTGAAAGTGAGAGCAGGGGATCACAAATCTCTCCTTAGGGACTTGGAAAGACAGATAAACTGCAACAAGAATTGACAGAAGAAATTCAGGATCTATGTCCAAATGAAAGACTTTTCCTGAGGTCAGGATGGCTAATATAGGAGAGAGCAGTGAGTTTCAATCATCAGCTTAAGGAGTACATTCACATGGCTCAGAAACTCAAACAGCCTAAAATTTCCAGAATACTGTTTTAAAGTATTACCTGAGCAATACTAAGCATTTTAACATCCACCATTCCATAGATTTAGAATGGTTAATCTACATTTTGATGAAACATTTCTTTCCAAAAACGTATCTGATGCTCCACTAATGATCATATGTCATTAATAAAGATAGGATAAAGGGAAGCTGTTATGAAACTAATTTATCTACCAACATTTTTTTGTGTGTGTATTCTTGAACTGAAGCTGAGATTTTCTTTTATCTGGTTCTCATTATTAACACTGCTAAAGTACTAGATAACACTAGCTGGGAAAACATTGAGGTGGTTTCATAATTTATTAGGAATTCAGCTTTCCAAGCTTATGAACTGAGCTATAGCAGCATTCTTCGTGAAGATTTGGTGAAAAAAATAAATGGCCTAATATAGTTAATTATAATTTTTCCTTAGTGGTTCACTTCTTTCTTCCGTATACTACATGACATCATTATAAATCCACTTTTACAAAATATACTCTATTTTTCTCCCATGCAAGTAACAATTAATGTACATTCTGATCAATCCATAAAGAGATTCATCCTCTACCCAGAAGTCTTTCAATCACAAAAAGTGAATACAGGGGGATTATTGTAAAGCTCTGTCTTATGACTTGTGAATTTCATACATAAGTGTCAATTCTATATTGAAATTTCATTTTTTTGCTGCTAAGCTAGTAGTTAACATATTTGATTATTATGAATTAATACAATAAATTAGATTATATATACATTTTTTGAGGTGGAGTTTTGCTCTTGTTGCCCGGGCTGGAGTGCAGTGGCGCCATCTCAGCTCACCGCGACCTCTGTCTCCCAGGTTCAAGAAATTCTCCTTCCTCAGCCTCTTGAGTAGCTGGGATTACAGGCACGCACCACCACACCCGGCTAATTTTGTATTCTTAGTAGAGACGGGGTTTCTCCATGTTGGTCAGGCTGGTCTCAAACTCCTGACCTCAGGCGATTCGCCCGCCTCAGCCTCCCAAAGTGCTGGGATTACAGGCATGAGCCACCCCACCCAGCCAGATTATATTTACTAATGAGAATATCATAAGGCAGTTACCTACCAACAAATATTTTGAAATAGGTTGCATAGCAGCTTTCTTTTACATCATAAAAACGTAAGATTATTTTTTAAATTTACTCGAAAAAATAGCTTTTGGAATGTAAGAAACACTACATTTAGACTCTCAGTTTACATATGGATTTAAATAAATTCTATGGTTTTTGCAAGGATAATGGTCCTATAAAACTTCTAACATATACCCAAATGTTCATGTTTCTAAAAGCCATATAATCAAGGTAAATGACTTTTAACAGTAATTATTAAAATACATTTTAGCCTGAAAAATAGAGTTCTCATTGTTATTTTTCTCCTTAACTGGATTGCAGTTGGTTTTTTTGCTTAAGCAACAGTAAATTTCATAACTAAGAAAAAGTTTCCTAGTGATTTTTGTTTGTTGCAAAGTAACATAGTCAAGTATCTCTGCAGGCAAAGGCTAGAATTTCTTCACTTTCTTATTCTCTGGAAATGTTTTACATTGTTCTGGTCAAAGTTATATTCAACAACTGTAGCTAAAAATATAAAATGTATTTATGTGATTTTACTTGCATCAAGAGAATAGAATTCTATAATAGAAAATTTTCTTCATAATTCTACGCCTTCTAACCTAAATAAAAAAGTAAAATCAACCTACTAAACACATTAATGTCTAAAACAGAAACTTTTGGCAGTATAATTTAGCTTTCAGAATCAGAATGTTTCCCAAAGGAATTGAAAGCATAGACAGAAAGGGACAATGCTTTTGGTGTCACAAAATGTTATCTATTTTGTGTTAAACACAAATATCTATGTCATTGCTCATGTCCAGCATTTTCAGCCAATGCAGTTCTTCATTCTCCTATATTCCAGGCAGCTTCTTACTACCACCATAGGTCTTACTTTAAAGAAAAAAACCCACAAAACCTCATCTGCCTAACTGCTATGTCTGGTCTAAAAATTAGGCCAGTAGACAGGATTGTACAGTACATTCAGGCAAAGGCAAAGGGACAAAAGGGACATATGAGAGCACTATACTTGATGTGACTTTTATGTTTGTGCTTGTACTATACTTCCAGCCTAGGCGCTTGTTAGACTCCACAAAACAGTCCTCTGACATAGTAGGAGTGCTCTATGGGATGTCTATGTATCCAGGATGATGACAGATGGAAAAATTACTGGGTCCAATTAACATGAGGAAGTTCTTCAAACTTCATCTTCTCTTATCCACAATGAATATTACAAATTCTTAGTGTATAACTTTGAATTTTAGACATTTCTAATTGTTCTCAGGGAAGATGATAGCTAAAGAGCTCTGAAGAAATAATGTTCTTTTTCTATGTTTACATGATACTCATTCTTACAGTAAAAAAATTTACTTAAGAAAGTTACAAATCGCTAAATAATCATATAGCATAATTGTAAAGTCTATTTTATGGATCCTCAAATATAAATGAACAATTTTAGAATATATGAATGTATGCAGCTTGATGGAGAGAGCTGTATACTTATCCGGGTGTTATTATTTTTCTGTGAGAAGAAATAATCTGACATCTCAGGCAATCTAATCATTCTCTGAAACAGCCTGCTTGTTATTCCTTGAGACTAACATCTGCAGTCTTTGAGTATTTATTCCATCTAGACAGATGTGAAAATGAAAAAAAGTGGTATTGTCCTACAGAGTATTACAATCAAAGCAGTAATAAAATATTTTGGGCTAAGTGAATTTTTATTTCCTTAATAGTTTCTCTTAATAAAAACATTCTTAAAGATATATAAACTGAGGAACTTGAGGAATCAAGACAATTCAAGAGCAAAAGGAAATTGTTTCTTGTAATATAAAAAGATATACCTACCTTTGTGGAATATAAAACATATGTTGAGGAGGTGGTTTATAGAGGACTCCTTCATACACAGGCCAGAGCCCACTTAGAATTCTGAAGAGAGAACTTTTCCCACAACCATTGGGACCAGTTATCAAAAGATGCATTCCTTCTTCTACCTAAAGTAAGAAATAAAATTACAAACTGCAATAGTTTAAAATGATTTATTTTGGCAGCACCTAAAAGTAAATTATTTTTTTAAAATGTTCGAAAACATGATAACCTAGGTTGGGCAAAAGATCAAGGAAAAATATTTCAGGGTTGAGAACAAGTTTGGCTTTTGACTATTCTCTGAAGCTAAAAGCATCATAAAATAATTCAATTCCAAAGAAAATGGATCTTCTTGAAATGGGCACTGGCTTTCCAAAATTGTAATTTGTTATCAGATACCACATACACATAGAGAAAAACAGCTGCCTGGGAAATAAGACAAATCATAAAAATTTAACTAAAAATATATTACATTATATTTTGATATTAATATTGGATTAAATTTACATTGAATTCAAATACAACTGAAAATTAACTGCAATTAATAGCTACAAAGCACAGTTATCCAAGGAGTCAGCTGGGCTGTTTAATTTTACACTTCAGCAGTCTGAAATGCTACAAAAATCACAAAAGCCCATAATCAGAGAGAGAAGATGATTCAAATTCTGCTTTATTCACAAATAGAGAAAATATGTTTAACAAACCAAGGATAGAGGAAAGCAAGAGGATTGTATTTTAGTCTCATGTCTAGGGATGAATTAAAATACATACACACATAGAATATTACATATATGTGAATAATATATATATATAATATTCATAAATAAAACAGGTTATTTATTTCTTATCTATTGGATGCTTCCCTTTATTTTCTATCCTATTATTGACATTTAAACTGTTTAATTTCATGAGTTCCTATTCCACACAATAGGATGAAGAAGTTGTCTTATTATGGTATTTAAAGGGTATTGTGAACAACAATCAACAGAAACACCATTTAAAATTTTTATCTACTTCTACCAAGAGCAAATGAAATTTTATAATCAGTGATACCCAAAAAATAAATATCAGAAATTTACAGGATGTCTGTAGATCTAGCTTTGTATAGAAAGGATACCAATATTCAAGTATCAATAATGTGGAATACATCATACTGGACCTCAAAGATGAAAGAGTATTATTATATTGCTAGCACACCAAGAAAATCTCAGGAAGAAGCTAGAAAAAATTAATTTGTTATCTGCCTGTGCTCTTTCACTAGAGAAAAGGCTAAGGGTTTAATTTTGTAGAAGCGTAAATATTTTCCAAATGATTTTTAAAAAATCATATATATCATGGTGAAAAGCACATTGGCAAAATATTTCAATAGGGCCATTCTCTATTAGGCATTCTCAGAAATTTAACACATTTTGAGGGGTAATTGGAGACTTTCTACATTAATATTAATATTTTTCTCAGCATAAAGGTCTCTGATGCTTAGAATTCTTTTTGTCTCACACTAACTTTTCTTCTGCAAATAATTTTTAATTTTTTAAAAATTTTATTTATTTATTTATTTATTTATTTATTTATTTATTTATTTTTTATACTGAGTCTTATTCTGTCTCAGGTTGGAGTGCAGTGGCATGATCTTGGCTCACTACAACCTCTGCTTCCTGGGTTCAAGCGATTCTTGTGCCTCAGACTCCCGAGTAACTGGGATTACAGGTGCCCACCACAATGCCCGGCTAATTTTTGTATTTTTTAGTAGAGACAGGGTTTCACCATGTTGGCCAGGCTGGTCTCGAACTCCTGACCTCAGGTGATCTGCCCACCTCAGCCTCTCAAAGGGCTGAGATTACAGGTATGAGCCACCGCGCCCAGCCTGCAAATGGTTTTTTAATCCTGAAGGCTAACAAAGGTATGAGATCCTTTCCTCTAGAAACTTATTTTTCAATCTATGCAGAGGAAACAGAACTTCCTATTATATTTTAGGGACCTGAGAATTTAAATATAATTTTCTGTCTGAGTTAGAAATAAATAATTATGAAGAAAGTATACTTTACTAATGCATATCTTTGTACAACTTCAGACCTTCTAAGATACTTTCACTAGACTGAGTATTTTTAGTTTAGTTTATTCTATGTAAAAGAAATGGCTCTAAATTTTTCTGCAGAAAGAGTGTGATATGCCCACACTAATGTAGTTAGTAAGCAAAGCTCAAGCCATGTACACTATTTATTAAATAAATAGAGCAACAAGAATCAATATTATAAAATGTATCCAGACCAAAACACCCTCTCTATAAAATCATAAATTATAAATTATGAAACCATTAATAAATAGTTAAATACTCTGTGTATGCCATGAGTACCTAATTGGTGCTTGTGGTCAGATCCTAGTAATTAGATCATCCTATAGGTCTATATGTGGAAAAATAAAGTCTGACCAAATTGCAGCTAAAAATACAATTTCTTTAAATTTACTGACACAGGATTTTACCCTGTTCAATGCTACTCATCCTCTCAACTCTCAGTAACCCAAAATATTTGCAAATACATCTTTAATAATTAAACCTTGACTAAAGTCCATACTAAAATCATTAATTAGCATATGTGTTATCATGTTTGTAATTCTTTTATCAAGTCAAATCATTTCTTTGTTTGAACTAAGCTCAACTTGCTATATTATGTCATTAATGCTTGTCAGCAAATTATTTTGTACTTGAATCCCAAAACATGTGTTTGAATTTTATAATGCCTTAAGTCAGAGAGTCAGGTTTATTAGATACTTTTACTTTTTAGTTTTTGTAATTAATACATAAGATATTAAATAAGAAATTATTGTCAACAGAATTAAAAACTAAATTCCAATCCATAAATCTTCTGATTATTTTATAATAGTACATTAGTACATGTAATTATTTTAAAAATTTAAGTCACATAATGTATATTGACAAAATTAAACTTGCTAATGACTTCTATTCATATTTTAGTAAATATATTACAGTATTGGCTTTTTAAAAAATAATTTCTATAAGGCAAAAAATTAAAATTTATTTCCAGGTACAAATTTCTCATGAAATTTCCTATTGTTCCCCAAAATTACCTTGTACACTATAATTTTGATTTTCAACCTGGCAATAAAGCAGTAGAAATCAAATTTCTCTTTTCTCTCTGCTTTCTGAGGAATAACTGCTTCTGTAATTGAGCCACTGTGCATACCTTTCTTGATTTCCCCTTTCCAAATGCTCCTCCAAGTATTTAACATAAGGTACATGAATTCTGAGTTGTTTTGTATTAGTGTGATGGCAACAATCAGAAGATTCTTGAATATCATCTTACTTTGAAGTTTAGCCTGGAAGCCACCACTTCTCCTGCTGGTGTAATTATGGGAACATTTTCACAAATAATTCCGTGATCCACATCAATAACTTTTCCTGTAATTAAGAAAAAGTGTAAGATACAAACATTATCACAGGTTTCTGATTAAATAACGTAAATTATTATGCAGTATAACAGGTAATTTCAATTATAAAGATAATTCACAGTAATAAATCACAGAAACAAATGTAAATATAGATATCCAGACCTGAAGCAAAGTTTAATGTAATGCAAATTTGTACATATTGACACATCTACTTGAAAAATCTTTCTGAGAAACATTTTATAATAATTGAATGTCAACATCATTACAATAGCAAAGCTATACAATCTGAAATAACCCAGCCTTAATTTTTACTACTACTCTATTTCCCTAAATTAACATATCCTATAGAAAAAAAACCACAGTGCTGCAAAAAAGGGAAATAAGACATAGAATAATGCAATTTTAAAAAATATGTAACCAAATTTAAGTTTAGAAACAGTATAATGAAGAACAACATGACATTAGCTCGAATTCTATTTGTTAGATGAATTTTAAAAGCAAACGATTCATTATGCCATATGTGCAGTTTCCAAAAATAATTTGGAAAATTGTGTCCTAAATAAAAGTAGCATAACACTGTGTTTTTGTGGTAATGTTAGTCACCACCCCTCAAATTGCAATACTAATATTAGGGATTGCTGTTTAAATAATGTTGGTTATTTAAATGTTGGTACTTTGTAACTACTAAAAGCTACCTTCTTAAACTTTGGTTCTGTTGATAAATACTTAAATATAGGAAAATATAAAAGCACTTGAGTTTAATACCTTTAATTGCCAATGTGTCACTGAGAGGTAATTCTACCTTAGCTCCATTCTTGCTATGGCTTTCAGATTCTTGAATGACAGCAGTTCTCTTATAAATGCCTCTTTTTACTTCATCAAAGACCCAAAACATATTGTACACTCGAGCAGTGTAGCCTGCTAATTCAGTGACCTAAAAGCAACACAGAGATATAAAATAGAGTTACTATATCCAAGACAATATTTTAAATAAATATGTAATCAGATAAGCTTCTTGACTTAATGTAAAAGATTATATTGCATTATACATGAGATATATATAATACATCTGAAAACTAAAACACATGACAGTACAAAAGAGCACTATAACACAATAATATGTTTGATTGAAATTATAAAACATAATATACAGATTTCAGAATATTAATGACACTTAAGGATCTTTCAGTCAAATTTCTGATTTGACCTCTGTTTACATGATGAAATTCATTTCCAATAAATTATAAATTTTGTGGAAAGCTTAAGGTCATTCAATGAAATTATAATCTTTTATTTTTGGTACCTTTTTCTATTTAAAATAGAAGATTTTAAGTAGGAGAAAAGTACCTTTTTGTCCTATTATGAAATGAATGTTTCTGAGCCAAATTGATTGTCAAAATTCCTCTATTTGGCAGGATACCAATATTGAGAGCAAGCTCAATGAAAAGCTTCAAATCCTTTTCAGTATAATTCCCCCAATCCAGCTTCTTTTGAAGCCAAACATGATTTATATGCCCAAAGAAAAACATTAAATATATTTTTTTTTCTAGGTAAGATTATAAGATGAGCTAAATCTCTACTTTAGTCCACAAAGCTCAATGGAATGGTGCCTTGTTCCTATTCTCTCAGCTGTTCATTTTGGTTAACCTCCTGCTGTTTTTCTATTAAGAGAACACCTTGCTATCAGGGTACTCTGAAAGGTGACTCATTTCCTATCAAGAACATGTTTCTCAATGAAACAGAATGCACAAGAACTAAGGATAGTTCTTGCACAAGAATACACAAGAATAAGCAAGGTATCTCAGAAATAAATGTTTCTTAATAAATTGCGGAAAAATACAACAATGCTGACATTTGTGTAAAATTTCTGTGTATGCAAAACATAAGCAGTAAATGAGTATGTATTATTATAAAAGCCTTCTGAAACACATCTCTACTGAGAGATCTGTAATTACACTGTTATTTCATTTCTATATGTTAATGTTATAGCTATTTAAATGATGATTTCTAATGTTATCTGGAAGAACCTCTTGAGTTGTCAAGTAGAGGAAAACAAATTTAAAGATCAACAAAATAGGGATTCAAGTGAAACCTGGGCAAATATAAATATTTGGGTAGAAAAGAATTCCAAAACCACAAGTAGAGGTCAATTCAAGAAAGGCAGGAGGCAATGAGTCAGTGGATCAGGATGGAATGTGAAGACGGTAGGAAGTGTCTGACAAAAACTAAGAATGTGCCGGTAGACAAATTACTCTGGGGTACAAGACAGGGAATTTGTCTTAGAACCCTAACTCTACAAAGGAAACTTGGTCCCTCTGGTGCTAGCAGAGAAGGCATGGTGGGTGCTTTCATGTGCCGTCACAGCAGTACAAGAATTTTTAGAAGTGAACATTTTATGATTAAAAGTAAATTCAGGCAAAAATAAAGCAAAATGCAATCATTCGTTGAGTTGGAGACAGTTTAGAAAAACTAATTGTTATCATTTCTCTAACCTAGATAGCACAATATTTTAATGTGAGATAAATAAAATTTTGATTTGTCATTTAATTTTAAGTAATTTATTACATCAACAAATCTATCCCAAAGACTGTGTCTCCAGATTATCAAAATTACTATTTGAACTTTTTAAAAAAATTGAGTTGCTTGCTAGCCCTTTGTAATTCTTTTATATAGTTTATTCAAGGCTGACTTAATATGCAGCTAAATTTACAAAGATGCTTTAGAATTTATATTGATATGATAGCCATAAGACTAACTGGTAGTGAGAATAATTTTATGGGAACATTGTGTAATATCTGAATTAAATTAAGTAATTTTAACCTTGGCCCTGTGGTATCTGCAGGTCTTATTACTATTTTGTCAACAAATATTTATTAACCACACAGTATTCCAAGTATGAAAATGGATATTAGAAATGTAAAGATGAGTAAGACAGTTCCTGCTTCAAGGAGCTGAGTGGTGTGATGCAGGCAATATACACAGCTATAATGTGGTAAAACATCAGACATACACTGAGATGGACACAAAACAGGATGACCCAAACTCTGCAGGAAGAATGCGGAATGGTAAGAAAGTATTACCCATTTAATGAAGGAAAGGTAAAAGTTTGCGAGATATATAAGAAATGTTATTAGCTAACATTTATTGAGTGTTTAATATGTGCTGTTTTAAATTTTCTACATGTATCAACTCACAACAACCCCACAAGTCAGTGTTATCATATCCCCATTTTATAGATGAAGAAACAGAGACACAGACGCTGTAGCGACCTTGACCCAAGGTCACATAATTTGTAAATTCATAAAATGAAAATTTAGGCACTCTGGCTCCAGAGTTCATACCTAAGGGTTTCTTTAAAATGTGAAAACAAAGATATCATACTATAGAGGGAAAAAGAGAGATAACAATTGATAGTATTATAAAACAAAGGATATTAGCAGCATTACACTTGTGAATTGCTGCCCTTAATCTTGATTATACGCAGCAATTTTTGGCAGAGAAAAGATATGTTTCCAAAATACTAAGTATACTTGGTAATTGACATTTTGCTTGATTTTCATAAATTTTATTTTAATTGAATTGACAATAAGAAATGCAAGTACCTCTTTGTATGAAGACATAATCCTTTCAATAGCATCAGCTCCAGAGGCCAGTAAATTTCGAGCAGTGGTAAAGGCTTCTGTCCGTTCACTAACCATAACTTGCTTTTGGCCATCCTCTAGATATAAAAACAAATTACAAAACTTGAGTTTTTTTTTTTTTTTTTTTTAGTAACTTAATGTTTTATATTATACAAACTAAATTGTGGCTAAAACAACCACATATTAATTTTTCATTAGTAGTAGCAATTTTCTAGAAATATAATGAATCATTGAAAATTCAGTGTTTGGGCTGGGTGCAGTGGCTCATGCCTATAATCCCAGCACTTTGAGAGGCCTGGGTGGGCGGATCACTTGAGGTCAGGAATTTGAGACTAGCTTGGCCAGTATGGTGAAACCTTGTCGCTACTAAAATTACAAAAATAAGCCAGATGTGGTGGCGCATGCTTGTAGTCCCAGCTCCTTGGGAGGCTGAGGCAGGAGGATCACTTGAACCTGGGAGGTGGAGGTTGCAGTGAACAGAGATCATGCCACTGGACTCCAGCCTGGGCCACAGAGTGAGACCTCTTCTCAAAAGAAGAAAGGAAAGGAAAAAAAGAAATGAAAAGAAGAGAGAGGAGAGGAGAGAAGAGAAATAAGTGTTTGTATCAGATTTTGTTTAAAGTTCCTCTTGTTTTATTATTTTTTCCAAAATGAGAGTTGGGACAAATAAATCAAAAGGAACTAAAACTATTTTCATTTAGCATTCTTTCAACCCTTTCCACTTGGACTCCCTGCCCTTAGGAGGGAGCAATAATGTACTACTGGGCGGCCAGGTGCGGTGGCTCATGCCTGTAGTCCTGGCACTCTGGGAGGCCAAGGCAGGCAGATCACTTGAGACCAGGAGTTTGAGACCAGCCTGGCCAACATGGTGAAACCCCATCTCTACCAAAAAAAACGAAGATTAGCCGGGCATGATGGCAGATTCCTGCAATCCCAGCTACTTGGGAGGCTGAGGCACAAGAATCGCTTGAACCCAGGAGGTGAAGGTTGCAGTGAGCGGAGATCACACCACTACACTCCAGCCTGGGTGACAGAGTGAGACCCTGCCTCAAATAAAATAAAATAAATAAAATAAAATAATAAAATATAAAATAAAATACCTACTGGGCAATAAAATAGTATTGATCTGGTAATTAAATATTAATACTACTAATAAACAAACATTTATGGTGTGGTTTCTTTAATAGAAATGCAAATTAGCTGATTCTCATAATCTAGCCTCTGTCTACCTTTCTCAACCATCCTTCACCCTACGCTCCAGCAGCACCCCATACATGGCATACTCTGTTAATCCTCTGGCATTTGTATATGTGATTTCTCTGGACTTTAATATACTTTCCTTTCTTTCTTGCTTAACTTTTTCTCCTTCTTTAAGAGTTAACACTTTACTAAAGGTTTTGCTAAGAATCCTTGTCTCTTTCAGTGGACTATAATTTCTTTGAAGGTCAAGACTGTGTGTTTTATTCTTTATTCCTAGTATTCAGCACAGTGTCTAACACATAGTACTCCTTAATGTGCATTGAATGGATGGATGAGTGGATGGACGGATGGATGGATGGATGAACATCCTAAATTACTGTCAATGGAGAATTATGGTTAAGAGTTAGGAATCAGACTAGGTTTGAATCTAGGTTTTATTCCTTATAAGCAAGTAGTAAGGTAAGTAGGGCAAGACACTTACCTCTCCACATCTATTTTCTCACCTGTAAAATGAGGTACATAACTATCTCAAACAGCCCTATCTTTTAGGGTTCTAAGGGTTATTGGTGAAAACCGAATAAAGCGTTAGTGCAATACATGGCCCACAGTAAGTGCTCTAAATATCAGCAGTTATTATTTTTTGTAGTTGTCGTTGCTATTATTGTATATCCACTCAATTTTAGTTTTAGTATTCAAAATTACATTCTCCAGGTTGTTACTTTAATCTTTTCATCAATTTGATTCTCTAGCTGGTCCTTCTATACATTATCTTCAAATTTCCAAACTAGATATTATAAGCTAAGGAGGAAAGTAGCAGTGATATAGATAGCCATAGGCCCATTTTGATATTTAGTTCACTCTAATTTATCTCAAAGGATTTCAGTGCAAATATATACTTTATGCCTTGCTGTAATTACCAGATATTTTTACTTTTTTTGCACATAGACAGCTCAACTTATTTTGAAAGGGATACCTGCACAATATGAGGTAAAATTCACCCAGCATGTATTTACTAGACACTTAGATGTGCAAGAAATTAGGCAAGATACAGGAAAAAATATGATTTTCAGATTTTTTTTCCTGAGAGAGCTTACAGCTTGGTAGAAGAGAGATGTCAAATTCCTAAACAATTATGTAGGGAAGCCTGGATGAGTTAATGCAAGGTGTTTGGAGAGGGCAAAAATTATTACTTGCTGCAAGAGACAGAAAATGCTTCATGGAGGAGTAGATTTTGAGAGACGTCTTGAAGATGGCATAAAATTTTAATAGATTAAAAGTATGGCATAAGCAATAGCACAGAGAAGGAACATGTCGAGTAATGCTAATTGAATGACAAACTGGTTAAGTTTACAGTATGGGTTGACGTCAAGCACTGATTTCATGGACTATCAGAATCACCATGAGTTCATGGAGATGTTTTACCATAGTCCAATGTGTCCTCTCCTAGCCTTACTGATAATCACTCCTCTAGAGAACTACTGTTAGTCCCCTTGAAGTTAATTAGTTAGTTTACCTAAAGAAGGAAAACAAAAAGGCTGATGAGCATTGGTATGAGGGAGAAGCAAAAGATGTGATTACATAAATAGACTGGGAACAGAATATAGATATTCTTAAAGACATGTAAATGTGTGATACAATTTAGATAGCCACAAAAGGGGTACCAAAATAGTAAATTCTTATATCAGTTAAAATGCTAAGAATAGTTTTGGCTCATAGAAAATCTGGCTGACAATCTAAAATAATTATGGAATTTTATGAATTTGGGTTAAAAGGGATTCAAATAGTAGTTTTCATCGACAGCTTCTGTTAAGAGGAAAAAACATTTGCACAGATGGACTGGCATTTCATATGGCATGATAATTTCTGTCTTGCTTTGGCAGATTAATGCTTATTGGGTCTTCTTCATGTTTTTAGCAATAAAATAATAAAAGCTTCCTCCAGATCAGATTTTATGTGGCTTTTTATTCTACTAGTTGTTCTTTGGCAGGTACTGTGAGAGCATTGCCAGTAGTATTTTGTCATGCACACAACAGCCAACTGCCTGACCTCTAAGACAGGGCCAGATTCCTTAGTGCCAGAGATATAAATCCATGACCTAAAATACTAAGCAGTTTTTATTCTAGGTCAATACATTCTTTTTGTCCTCACTGAATATTTTAGCTATTTTGTCAAAAGTTCCTCATTTAAGGATTTCATATTTAACACTATACCTGTTCATTTTACTGCTAATTTGGAGCTCTGATAGTAAAGAGTACATATTGAAAATTGGTCACATGTCTTGTTATTTCACAGAAAAGATGGGGAAGAATTTTAAACTTAAGGTTATGCCTTATATATTTACCATAACCCTTGCAAATGTACATCACAAAGAGTGAAGCCTAATGTAAATTATGAACTTTGGTTAATAAGGAATAGATATTGGTTCATCAGTTGTAATGAAAGTTCCACACTAATACAAGATATAAGGCATAGGGGAAACTATGGGGGGAGAGGGTATTTAAGACCACTGTACCTTCTGATCAGTTTTTGTAAACCTAAAACTTACCTAAAGAAATAAGGTGTATTATTTTTAAAAAATAAAAAGTAAGTTTATTCTTCTACTTTTTTCAAGCTTATCATCTGAGTTTCTCTTCATTTATCTTTCTCTTTGTCATCTTGACAAATCTTGACAAAATTTATAACCTGCGCCTATCCTCCACCATATATAAACATCCATTCTAAGTGACTGAAGATCTAAATGTGAAATGAAAAACCAAGGAAATTTCTAGAAGATAAAATAAGGAATAACTTTATTATGTTGAGTTAGGCAGATATTTCTTAAATAGGACATAAAACCACTAACCATAAAGAAAATTATTGGTGAATTAAACTATAGTAAAAGTATGAATTTCTATTAGACACCATTAAGAGAGTGAAAAGGCCAGATGTAGGGTGGGAAAATATATTTGAGATTAAATGTGTGTGTGTGTATGTGTATGTGTGTGTGTGTGGTGTGCATGTATATGATATATCCAACAAATGACTCATTACATAATACATAAAAGCTTTTACAAATCAGTAAGAAAAAACTGATAAACCAATGTAAAAATGAGCAAAAGACTTACAGGCACGTCATAACAAAGGCTATCCAAACGTCCAATGAGTAAATAAAAGTGCTTAACCTCAATAGTCATTAGAGAAATGCAAAGTAAGACCACAGTGAAGTACCACTATACACTCATGAGAATGTCTAAAATGAAAAAGCCAGACAAAGATATGGAGGAAATAGAACCCTTACACATTGCTGTTGGGAATGTAAATTGAAAGAACTTTTTTTGGAAAACTGTTTTACAAAATCTGCTAAAGCTGAACCTATGCATAGCCTGTAATCTAGCAGTTTTACTTCTAGTTAAGTACTCACAGATATGTATATACATACACCAAAAGATCTGGACAAAAATGTTCTTAACAGCGCTATTACTAATACCCAGCAAACTGGATACAATCTAATGTCTGCTAACAACAGAATGGTTAAATAAAATGGTATAGTCATACAACGGGATGCTATATAGCAAAGTCAATAAATATGCTATGGTTATACTCAGTAACACTGATGAAGCTCATAAGCATAATACTGAGTCAAAGAAGCTAGTCATAAAAGAGTATGTATTATATAATACTATTTATGAAATTTTCAAACTAGCAAATACTACTTGATAGTGAGGTCATTATACTTTGTGACAACTCATTAACTGGTACACTAATGATTATGCCCATATTGGCATATATGCTATACTTTAAACAATTGTAGTCACTTTTATGCATACCTAATTAGAGTTTTAAAGTACGCCTTTGATATGTATTGATAATACTGCTATGTTCATTGGTCAAAAAGAGTACAATTATATCCAAATTGGCCCACAATATAAAATAACATTTCAACGATTTGGCATTGGAATATGAGACAATAATGCAGCAGAAACTGAAGCTATGGTTATAATCTTATTGGCAGTACATTTTAGGAATAAAAGCATCACCCATGCTACTGGAGTGCATGCAGTGCCTTTCAGTTACTCCTGATATCCTGCTTCACACTCACAGATCACAAACATGTTGACATTACTGGCAGTGCTAGTAGCTTAGACACTCTTTTTTCCTGCCTGTTAGGTGTCTGTGATAAGATATTGACAGAGTAACCTCATAGCTTTCACTGGCCTCCTTGCCCAGAACAGCTTTTGATATCAAGAGAAGAAAGGCAGCCTACTAATGTTAAAGAATTGAGGTTGTGGGCCGGGCGCGGTGGCTCACGCCTGTAATCCCAGCACTTTGGGAGGCCGAGGCGGGCGGATCACGAGGTCAGGAGATCGAGACCATCCCGGCTAAAACGGTGAAACCCCGTCTCTACTAAAAATACAAAAAATTAGCCGGGCGTAGTGGCGGGCGCCTGTAGTCCCAGCTACTTGGGAGGCTGAGGCAGGAGAATGGCGTGAACCCGGGAGGCGGAGCTTGCAGTGAGCCGAGATCCCGCCACTGCACTCCAGCCTGGGCGACAGAGCGAGACTCCGTCTCAAAAAAAAAAAAAAAAAAAAAAAAAAAAAAAAGAATTGAGGTTGTAGACCTCAGGTAACTATTTTCTTCACATAATTTCAGTCATTCTCTTAATACTAAGTAAAGAAAGGGGTGATAGTCTTTAAAAATAGTATAATAGAAACTCTACATAACTAACACTTCAATGCCTCTTTGCCAACCATTTGGTCCCATGGTTACTCTGCCTCAAACTTACCCATCTTCCTTATAGAATAAGTTCCAATGTAGCTAATATGGTGGCAGCATGATGCAGTAGAAGAAAGCAGTGCATCTGGAGTTATATAACGCCCTCCATCCTTAGAGCTTCCGCTAACTAACTGTGTGACTTTAGGCAAAGCTGGGGCTCTAGACCAGATGGCCTTTAAGCTCCTCTTTTGATGTGAAAATGCCATGTTGTATATGTGATTTTATTATGTGAATTTGAATACAAACATAATCCTGTCTTTACCATAAGATTTCACTTAAAGTTTTAGGTGGATAGTACAGCAAATCTGCAATAGAATTATTTTTCCTTTCCCTTCCAACAAAAATTATGCGGGTTCTTCCTTTCTCCATTTTCACCTCTGAATTCCTAATCACTTTTGAACGTGCTCCTTTAAGCTACAGCAGTGATCATGTTAGCAAACATCTACTGAATATCTGTGAGCCAGGCCTTGTTCTAAGTTTCACATATCTGATCTTATTTAATGCTTGTAACAACGCTGCTATCATTTCTCTCATTTTGGAAATGTGGAAATTGAAGGACAAAAGGTTACATGATTTGCCCAGGGTCACAGTCTAGAAAGCAAAGAAGCCAGCATATGATCCAGAATATCTGACTCAGGAGCCACAGGGTAAGAATATGATAAATATTAACAATTGCTTCTACCTAGGTTCTTACTTAGCCAAGGACTGTTTCAAAACACATTAAGTATGTTACATGTAACTTCGTAAAAATTTTGAAAGATGTGTATAATTATCTCTATAGTTAAGATAGGAAAACTGATGTACATAAAGTGTATGTAACTTTCCCAGGAAAGGACAACTATCAAATAGCAGAGCCAACATTTGAACAGCAGCCTTCTTTTTTCTTCATTTTATCCTCTTTTTCCCCCCTCTACTTCACATTTTCCCCTTGCCATTTCTTTCTGACTCACCTATTTTTCTACCTTTTTTTTTTGCCTTAAAATATATAAAGCATCATGCACTTTACCTCTAACATAAGGGACAAACTAAAGGCATACGTGTAAACTATGACTGAAGATTAGATTAGAATACATGGTATGTAATTCCAAGAACTAAAACCTTAAAGATATACTATTATCTTAAAAAAATTCTTTTGGCTAAGTAAAGTCACTCGGTATTTTCATGTGTTAAGTCTTTGTATGACAAATATATTTAGTAAATACATACATATACCTGCAAACATTACAGGCACAGATAGTAACCCTTGATATTACAGATTTTGAAGAACATTCTCAATTAATAGTCTGTCATATGAATTCATTTTTCTGTCTATGAAATTCTTACATTACTTTTCTCTATATAAAAATTTTCTTTTGAAAGAAGCTTTAAGAAATACTTTGTTTCACTTGCCTCAATGTGGTTATTATATTTCAATCTAAAATTTTAATGTTTCTTTAATTTAATATGGTATTTTCAGGATTTGTGGGATTTATTTTTAAATATATTATTACATCTTGTTAAATAAGCTTGTTAGATTCTTTGTATACATTGTTTACTTCTTACTGGTCTCTGTGGGGTTAATTTGTCACCATTTAATAGCTGCATTTTTGCTGTTCTATGTTGAATACTCCAGGGTTTTTTAATAACACCAGTGTGTCCAAGCACTGACTAACAAAACTACATCATAATCTTGTCTATAGAGTTGTCTCTAATATACATTATATATTAAACTTTTTAAATGAGTATCGTTATTTTAAGAAATGACTTTTTAAGTGAATATCTGATAATTTTGACTTTTTTTGGTAAAACTAATATTAACACCATAGATTTTAAAGTGTCACTCTCGCTAATACTCTTTTGAAAAAGTAATTTTATTTCATTATGAAAGGATTATGTCTAAAATACTATTACTAACAATACCTTTTTCAATATAAACTTTTTAAAATTAAATTCTTTTTAGTAAATTTTGAAACATAAAACCAGATAAAATTCAATTTTCTCAGTGGTCTACAAATAGTGTCTATTACACAGTTCATTTGTGAAGTATAATTGATATATGCATAACACTTGCCACAAAGAAAGGCTGACAAATACTAACTTACTGAAATGAACATATTTATGTTAAGAATAACTCAACTTTG
This sequence comes from Homo sapiens, assembly GCF_000001405.40. Lineage (NCBI taxonomy): Eukaryota > Metazoa > Chordata > Mammalia > Primates > Hominidae > Homo > Homo sapiens. Next base: position 39,615,710 of record NC_000012.12, read on the forward strand.
ACAAGTGTTTTTGTAAGGACTGGTTAAAACATTGAAGCACTGTTTCAAAACATTAAGGCATATTATAATTATTGTTTTTATTAGATCACTTCAAACAAATAACTATTCATCCTTAATTCTGTACAAAATAACTATAAAACAGTGCAGATTCTGTAACAATATTCTTAGTTTTCTAGGTAATAATTGTCACCTTTTATTTTCTAGGTAATAATTGTCACCATATATCAAGTATAACATGCTCTGTACTTCATAAACATTATTCAGTTAAATCCTCACAACAATTCTCTGAAGTAGCCTTTCTGGTTCTCATTTTACAAATGAGGAAACTAAGGTATAGAGAGTTTAATCAACTCTAATTAAACAGACTAAGAGGATACACGTAGGAAGAGGGGGAACCAAAAGTTGAACAAAACTCTGTTTCACTACAAAGCCTATGCTTCTGGCCAATTTTAGTCCAGTGATTTTTAAGGAGGGATGTCTTATTTTAGGAAAAGAGTAGAAAATACTTCTTCAGTTAATTCTTCTCTGTTCCAACCAATTAAGATCCAAGCTCCCATCCAAGGATGATACAACATTTTAACATTGTCTTTTCTTCCTTGCCCTTATCTTTCTTTGTTATTCCAAAGAATAAAAACTGTTATTAAAAACTGTTGAGACAGTGGTAGGATAGAATTAGCCAGCTGCAGCTTGACAACCACCATTCCTACAAAACCACCAAATCATGCTGCATAAGAGGTTATCTGTATTATTCACAAGCAGAGGAGCCCTTATTCCATGGCACTTAAGCATTCTCTGAAGCAATATTCCTGCTTGCCCATTGTAGTCAATGGACTTTTCAAATCGCAAAGCAGGGCAAATTCAGTTATAGAATATTTATAGACTAAATGTATGGGATGTATAGAACTAATGTTTATAACACATGAGGAATGCTTGTGTTATACTCTTTCTGAGGGTACTAACTTATTCTGAGGTTAAGTGTAAACTAAAGAATCATCCTATATTAGGCAATATAATTAAAATTGCTCAAGGTCAACTCCGAGAAACACTGCATCAGAGATCTCTGAAATAGCTCAGAACTGGGAACGTCTTTGAACCACTGTCTCCTTATTTCATACTGCTGGTCTTATCACTGGACGCTGTAAAGTCTGCCATTGTTTCGGACCATTGTTAACTAGAATATGACCATGTACACAGTTTAGCTCACATAAAACTAGCAATGACAACTTCAAAAGAAATAATGTTAAAAATATATTTGAGATTAAGCATAAATGTCATTACCACCATCTGCAAAGCCAGTTGCAGTGATAATAGGTATAGCCACCATAATTAGTCCACTGCTGCTCCAAACATACTTCATCAGGAACTGTTCTATCATGATGTACCACAAACGTTTGGATAAAATGAGGTTCATCTGATCTGCTAAAGCTTTGTAACTTTTCTGAAGTTGTTTCATTTCTACCTATAGAGAGGAAAAAGAGTTGAGGACTTTTTTTAAAGATATATACATATTATTCTTTTTTTTTTTTAGTATGGCATTATCTATGCATCTTAACCAATAAATGCAGATTAATACCAGTATTAGTTATTATTTAGTTTTGGTCACATGTGTATTATTTTTAAAAGTTTATGCTACTCAGTGGACATAATGTTAGGTATAAAATACATATAAGTAATTTATAGTTATGATATTTAAATTTTATGTATGAGATGTTAAAATTAAATGATATTATATGAGACATGAATAAACAATTATTAGAGCTTTGTCCTTGTTGATTACACCAAAAATATCTGAAAATGGACACATGACATATATATGTATAGACTCCACTTTTGAACTGACTCAATTTGTTGGATTTTGTCTTTTATGCAAGAAGTCTAAGCACACTATAATTTATATCATTGAATTCAATAGTTCAAGAAGAATCACAAATCAATATGATATAATACAATATATGAGGTCAATTTTCAAGTGGGAGTAGGATTCCTAAATTTACTTTAAATATTATTTTTCAGGTTGCTACTGCTATTAAAGACACTGATAATTACAGATGCTTTAAAAATTAAATAATTCTGCTTGGTGATTGACATGCCATCTTCAACAGTAGAATACTTTATTTTATTCACCAAGTCATTTAAATTAAGATTGCATTGCCTTCAAAATTTCTGTCATTTCATATTCTGAAGTTACCTTCATGCACTGTTAGTATGTATAATTGGGCTAATTGTTTTAGGGATCTGCTTAATGTTGAAAATCTTTAATAATTAAAAACATTCTGAAACTCCTTTTGTACTCCTCATTTCTTCTCTAATTTCAGCTTTTTTTTTTTTTCAAAGCTAGACAAAATTTCATTTCACTTCCTCTTTTCATTTTGTCAAAGTACAGTGCTGAACATGAACTAAGAGTAGTAGAAATGCCATTTTGTGAGACACTCTCCTACGCTTCTTGGGAATGGGGATGCTCCATATTGATCAGACATGCAAAATTGTTAAAAATGTCTTCTATAAGAAACCCTGGCTCTTCCCCCCTCTTGGACAACAAAGGAACAACAAAGAATATCATTCTAAATTTTCCATTTCAGTGGAAATATGTTTAGTCTTAGTTTCTAAATATATATTTTCTTCTGGTAGGTGCTTTAGGATGACCTACCAAGTTGGGATTTAAGTTTTAAGAAAATGCGTTAGAAATAATTCTGAGCATATTTGAGTAACTGAGGCTAAGTAGACTTTTTTAGAGTGTTGCAAATTTTATTCTTCTGAAACTTTAGAAAAGTTTGCACCCTATAATCCTTTAACTGGTTACAGTTAAAAGGGGTAATGAAGCATATATTTTAATTCAGGTTTAGATGTCAGAGGAATCTAAGACACTAAAGAAGTGGGTCCATCGACAGGACAACAGATGGTATCTGGCACTGCAGTGGCAACTTGAACAGTTTCACATTTCACCCATCACCTTAATTTCTATCTTACCTTATGTCCTCTGTAAAAGGCAATTTCTTCTACATTGGCTATAATTCTCGAGTGCACATACCGCAAATAGCCTTTTCTATGTGCTTCCTCTGCCACCAGTTTGCCAAATTTGGGAGAACAGGCTTTTAACACTTTAGCAGTGGCATACACCACAAGTCCTGCTAGTAGGGTGGGCCCAATTGGGCTTGCTCCTCTGGATGTAGCAGTTTGAATGAGTGTATAGGAGGTCAGCATTACATCTAAAATAGGTTTGGTCAGATTGGAATACAAGTGAGCCACAGATTGGGAGAACATCATAATATCCTCCGTAAGAGATTGGTCAGGGTTTGCCAGCCTCCCATCCATATTGATCACTTTATAATAAGTCTGATTTGTAAAATAGGTTTCATAGGCGTGGTCTACTAGGCGAGTTCTGAAGGCCAAAGCCAATTTGCATTCCAGGTACCTTATTGCACTGTTGACGAAGGTAGCAGGGATGGCAATCATAAGCCACTTGATTAATTTGATGATGAAAGTCCGAGGCTTCTTTTCCACAATGCTTTTCACGATTTTTCCATCCAGACCAGCCACATAGATAGAAAGAAAGGTTCTTGAGATTAGAGCCACTGAGTGCAGGCAGAGCCACCCTGTTTCAGTGGTCACAAGTTTTGGAAACAAAATTTTCCGAAGTTCTAGTAGCTGTTTGAAGAAATCTGCATTCACTCCAGGCGAAGGTTTTTCACAAATGGTCTCGGTGCAATGCAGTATTTCTGTGTTCTCTGCAGCAGGGTAAGCTGCTGCTTTTTTCTTCCCGTGGCCAGATTGCTTTAAACGCTTGCCAATGATGGGATAGAGGGTTTTCAGAGCATATGCCGCAGCCACCAGGCAGGCAGCCCTCTTAGCAGCACTCGATCTGGTCCATTTCACTCGATCAGCTGCTGCATTTAGCATATGTGTCATTTTCCCAGTTACCCAAACCGGCTTCCAAAAGAATTCGTTTTAAAAGATCATGCTTCACAGAAATCCCCAGCAAATGTTTTAGAAAGTCCTACAGCGTCCCATAGTCTGCAGCGTTTCTCTTCCACTGTTGTGTTTTTAATTTTGTTCTGCTGTGACAGATGCAGCAGAGCTCAGACTCCGCTGCATCTACCGGGAATGATTCTCTCAGAAGCTCAAGCTGCACCAAGCTCCTCCCTCCCAGGCCCCTCATTGGCTGTGAGGGCGGTGGGACCTTGGAATCCTCGCAGCTTCCCTTTGAACCTTGAAAATGAGGAGAGAGCAAAGCGAATTACATCCTTCCTTAAACAGGAGTTCAGAGAGTTAAAATGTCTATTTTTGGAGAGGTCGAATCAGGCCATCTGCTGGCGAACAAAACCGGCTCTAGCTACTGAGCATGCTCAGTGTCACTTAGAAACCCACAGAAGTTTCAGAATATACATCACTTCGGTAAGATTTCAGTAGATACCGCAAACAGAAGAGCAAGCAGAAAGGGAGATTTCCAAGCGAACAAAACCGGCCCTAGCTACTGAGCATGCTCAATGTCACTTAGAAACCCGCAGAAGTTTCAGAATATACATCACTTCGGTAAGATTTCAGCAGCTACCGCAAACAGAAGAGCAAGCAGAAAGGGAGATTTGCAAGAGTTTTAATGAGACGAGGAGGGAGAAGGAACCACGAAAATGAGGGAGGAGGGACAAGAGGATCAACATAAAATGAATATGAAAAGGATATGGAATGAATCTGAAACGGATCAGAAAAGAAAGTGACAAGTGGGAGGGACACCGGAGAATGCCAAATATCAAATACACTTGGATCTGTTTTTCACAGATCCCCCCGGCTTTTTTGGGGGTCTGATTTCACAAAAGGTCTCAGAACCTAATAGACAAGTTGTAATCGAGGGTTTCCCTTGTAAATAAATAGGATAAAAGTCTTCCGTGTTACAGAAAATAATTATTTGCTATGCCTCTAGCCATTCTCCCTTTTTCCTCTGCATCCTACTTGTCCTTATGCTAAAAATCTTCCAGCCCCATAACTGGAGATCTGATGTACTCATATTTATTTACAAGGTGACGACTATTAAATAAATGAGAGCAATGTTTCATGTTTACTACTCCCATGTGTTAGGTAGTTTTTACTTGGAGTGGGGTAGCACTTATAGTGAAAGTTTAACCATTTGGGAATTCAGCTGGTGTTGGATGGTGGAAATAGCTTCTCTAGGACCTTACTTCATTTTTCAAGAATGCTTTGTCTTTTGCAGGTTTCTGCTTTGTTTGTTTTGTTTAGCTGTAGAGATAATCTACTGGCTACTTCCTATTTCCATTTGGTTATTTGATAAAAACTAAGAGTCTTAAAATTCTTCACATCCATAATGGAGGATTTAAATTGTTCAACAGTCAAGGACAATTCTGCATATTTTTGAAAATGTAAAAAGCTTTTTTTTTTTTTTTTTTTTTTTTTTTTATGAGACAGAGTCTCTCTCTGTCACCCAGGCTGGAGTGCAGTGGCACGATCTCAGCTCACTGCAGCCTCCGCCTCCCAGGTTGGTGCCTCAGCAGCCCGAGTAGCTGGGATTACGAGGGTGCGCCTACCATACTTGGCTAATTTCTGTAGTTTTAGTAGAGATGGGTTTTGCCATGTTTGCCAGGCTGGTCTCAACCTCCTGGCCTCAAGTGATCCACCTGCCTTAGCCTCCCAAAGTGCTCGGATTATAGACGTGGGCCACCACGCCCAGCCAAGAGCATTTTTTAAGTCAGGGCTGAGTATATTTTTGGATATGGAAAAACCATTTTTTTTGCTCTTCACTGTCCCCGCCCCCCATCTCATTAAAATTCTCGGAAATCTCCCTTTCTGCTTGCTCTTCTGCTTGTGGTATCTACTGAAATCTTACAAAAGTGATATATATTCTGAAACTTCTGGGGATTTCTAAGTGACACTGAGTATGCTCAGTAGCTACAGCCAGTTTTGTTCACCAGCAGCTGGCCCCCAACATACATACACATTTCCAGTCAATTAAAAGCTTAGGAAAATATGCATCAAGCTAGAACAGAAGTTGGCAAATTACAACTGGTGGGCCAAATCTAGCCTGCCACTTAATTTTATATGACCCTTAAGCTAGGAATGATTTTTACATTTTTAAAGTGGTTGAAAATACTTCAAAACAAGAATATTTTGTCCTGTGAAAATTATATAAAATTCTCATTTTTGTGTTTATAAATAAAGTTTTATTGGAAAACAGTCACACCCATTCATTTACTCTCTGTCTATGGCTTCTTTCAAGCCACAGTGGTGGATGCAACAAAGACTAAAATATGTACTATTTGGCCCTTTATAGAAGTTTGCAAACCTCTGTGCTAGAATATAAAACCCATCTCAGCATTAAATGATCTTCATTACTGAGTTTATCACAAAGAACTATCCTCACTTTCATAAGTAACCATATTCTTAAAATTTTAAAACTTCTTTCTTATGTACTCATATTAATTCTGACAATCATCACATATCTCTTCATTTGTTTGCATTCAATTCAGCAGACTGACTGACACATGAGTGTCAAACTCATGCAAGTTTTTTTGATAGCTGGCCATATTAGTAGCATAATCCATCATCCCATTAAGACTTTTTAAGCCTGTATGTACAGATAATAGTGGTCATGGAAGTTATTGCCAAAATCTTTTATTCCTAAGCTCTTGCTTTTGTTGTATGCAAGATAAGGTTGCCTTTCATTTATGTCACATCTCCTAACAGCTACACACAAAAGGGTTAGCAGTGACAGGACAGGTTAAAGGCCAGAGTAAACCTAACTGGGGGTGATGGCAGGATGTTGTTAGGCAGAACATGGTACACAGAAGGATGCAGACAGCAGCTGGCAGTCGAGGCAAGTGGTTTGCAATACATACAACCAGAGACAGCCATATTAGGGGAGGAGCATGGCAGTGAGAACTCTAGAAGCAAAGGACACTAGAGATTCAAATAGGACTTAGCTGGAGGTAGGTCAGTTTACCAACTGATAATGAGGTTATAGTGCAGGAACAAGCTTTCAGCATCTGGAGTGAGAGACTTGTGAGAATGAAGAATTATTTATGAGGAAAATGATCAAGACAGAAATTTTGTTACCTGAATCGTGGTACAAGGAAGGTTGAAAGTGAGTTACTTGAAGTGTGGAAAATGTCAACGTGAAATTTGATTTGATATTGAGCCACTTAGGTGAAGACCTAACTCTAACCACTTAAATTTCACTCCCACCATTCACCTCTCCCTGCTCTCAAGGGTAAGAGTTGGTCCTAGTGTCTGAGACTAGACACAAGCCTTCAGATAAGGCAGAGGAAGGATTCAAGAAGACAGGAAGCCATATGGACAATTAGGTCAATAATATATGGCATTTAAGTAAAAAACTAAGAATGTCAAGGTACTTCTTTCAGTTTTTTCTTTTTCTTTTCTTTCTTTCTTTCTTTTTTTGAGGGGGATGGAGCCTCACTCTGTTGCCCAGGCTGGAGTGCAATGGCACAATCTAGGCTCACTGCCACCTCTGCCTCCCAGGTTCAAGTGATTCTCCTGCCTCAGTCTCTCAAGTAGCTGGGACTGCAGGTGCCCACCACCACGCCCAGCTAATTTTTGTATTTTTAGTAGAGATGAGGTTTTGCTACGTTGGTCAGGCTGGTCTCGAACTCCTGACCTCAGGTGATCCACCCCCGTCGGCCTCCCAAAGTGCTGGGATCACAGGCGTGAGCCACCGCGCCCGGCCTTCTTTCAGTTTTTTTCTATTGACAGTATGCAATTAAAGCTAAGAGACTGTTAATTTAGTTTGAATTCCAAACTAGGAAAGAGGAGAAAAAAATCTTTGTTACTGTAGTAAAAAACATACTTAGGCCTAATTTCCACACAAACGTCTCAACTTCAAGTGTGTTTATATGGGAGATTATTAAAATTTTCTTAAGAGGGGAGAAATCTTCTTAGAAAAGATCTTGAGAAACAATGAGAATAATTTTTAAAATCAATAATTCTCAAATCACTGTGCTCTCAAGTGTGATATTCTCATGTACCCTACCAATATCCATGAAAGAAATGAATTAAATGGAGTTTATATATATAGAATACAAATTAGAGACTATATATGTTTTATGAACTGTAAAACATCAGAAATTTTTTTGTAATAAAGAGAATTATATATATGTATATACATAAATGTATGTATAATGTATATTGTATATGTGTTGCATGTTCAGATTATGAATATCCAGAAAGTAAATAATTTTTAGAAATAGGTAAAGATAAATTGTTTAAGGTTTGAGAATTTCGAATGGATTTCCTTTTCAACAAATGCTTAATAGTATTTCATCTGTGCTGTATTGCTTTCTTGAACTGTTTCCTGACCCAAGAGATTACCTAATTGCTCTACTGGCCCTAAAATAGCACAGCATTGGACTCTCTTATTATCTATCAGTCATGCTAGTCTTACTCATGGAGGCATAAACAGCACTGAAAATGAGATTTTAGGTCAACATTTCAGCTATTACACATAACTACCTAATACCTAGTTCATAAGGAAATGTCTTTTTCTGTGAAGGAAAACCCAGTAAATATCTTGTCTGAACATGTATCTCATAGGTTAATCTTTCCTTAGCCTAATTCACTGCCTCCCTGTGACTGGAAGGAAAGAAGTGACTCTAGTAAGGGGGAAGAGATGGCCCATCCAGCTCTCAGTTCTTATTAAAATTTTTATGTATTTTTCTTTTTAATTTTAATGGGTATATAGTAGGTGAATATGTTTATGGGGTACATGAAATATTTTGATACAGGCATAAGATGTATAATAATCTTTCAAGGTAAATGAAGTATCCATCACTTCAGGCATTTATTATTTCTTTGTGTTATAAACATTCCAATTATTCTCTTTTGGTTAGTTTAAAATGTATAATAAATGTTAACTGTAATCATCCTGTTGTGCTATCAAAACTAGATGTTATTCATTCTATCTAAATATATTTTTCTACCCATTAACCATTCCCACTTCCCCATCCCCCACTGCCAGCCTCTGGTAACCATCACTCTAGTCTCTATCTCCGTTAGTTCAATTGTTTTAATTTTTGGCTCCCACAAATGGAGTGCCAGCTCTTAGTTCTTTACCCAACAACTTGGTCAACCTCTCCTTATGTCCCTTTACTCACAATAAAGAAAAAAAGAGTTAATCCCTTAGCAAATTATTTCCCCTTTCAGTTAATTTAGTCAATATGTTTTAAAATGTTGAAAGTAGGAAAGGCTGATACACAGGGCCATTGCTTCTTCCTTGCCTGTATGGTTTTGTTACTGAAAAAACAACTCCATGTCAAAGTCTGATATTCTCGGAAATGCTGAATTCACTTGGTCTAATTCAATTTTAGATACACCTTGGTGAATTTTGTCATAAAAAACAGGATTTTTGTGATTAAACAAGATATCTACCCTGGGACATAATCCTATTCTAAGTACTATTTTCCAATGACTTAACAAAAAATCGATTATTATATATCAAATTGTGAAATCTTCCCCAGGTTATGTTCTGGAAAAAAACATGGCAATTTAAAAAAATGTAATTTGTGCATGTATTTGGAAGAAGAGATGCCTAGTTTCTAACCAAAATAATATAGGACAGTTTGTAAGATAATTGTTTTGTAAGGATATACAAACTTAATACAGAAACAAATAGCATAATTCAATTTTTGTTTTGAGATTTTTTTTTCAGTAAGGATTTTAACATCTTTGGACTTTTACATCTAATTAAGTTTTGATCAAGCTCTTTTTTTTCCTTTCTTTCTTTTTTTTTTTTTTTTTAAGAGACAGAGTCTGCTCTGTCGCCCAGGCTGGAGTCTCTCGACTCACTGCAACCTCTGCCCTCCTGGGTTGAAGCAATTCTCCTGCCTCAGCCTCCTGAATAACTGGGGCTACAGGCGCGTCCCACCACGTCCCACTAATTTTTTGTATTTTTAGTAGAAACGGAGTTTCACCGTGTTAGCCAGGATGGTCTTGATCTGCTGACCTCGTGATCTGCCCACCTTGGCCTCCCAAAGTGCTGGGATTATAGGCGTGAGCCACTGCGCCCGGCCTGATTTAAGCTCTCTTAGCAACTCAATGCACAGAATGGTAACTTACTACAGCGCTATGTTTCTTATAAACACCTGTTTACGGAGTATTAAAACTGCACATGAAGGATATTTAAGGAATTTGGGTATGGGGTAATAAATGGGAAGGGAAACATCATTTTTAGGGTTAGCGATCCTTAACTGTGTCCTTGCCTTCTTTTTCTTTCTCAAGTCTGGTCTCTGACTCGAAAAAGACGTCAAAGACCTGTCAGAACTAGATAAAATTATGATGGAGGTGTTTTGAAACACTAATCCTGTGGCCCCTGTCAAAAATTTAGGCTTTCATTTATTTAGGCCTGCCTTGCCTCAGCGATTAAAACGATGTCAGCCAGGTCGGCTGCTTTGCCGCAGCGTCCCCTTGCGGCCCTATCAGGACCGGAAGGAACACGCAGAAGCCGCAGAGGCTGTTGGGAGGTTGGGCCTCAGGCGGTGGACCAGAAGGAGCTTACTCGGGCCCTGACGTTGTCAGGAGGCCCTGGGGGATCCTGCTGAAGCTGCGATTTGGCGCAGAGCTGAGATGTCTGAGCTCTAGACACAGGGACCTCAGTGTCAAAAGATTTGGGAAGATGAATTGGGTCGGGGGGTCCCGGTAAGTTGTGCAGCTGGAGTTTGAGGCTGGGACATTCATTCCTACGACTCCTCTTTCTAGTTCCTGGCGGAGAGGTCACAGCCTTAGCTGGAAAGAACTTGGTAGGAAAGGGTCTTTTTATTGTTATCCAAATCGGGTTGGAGACTCTAGAACCATATCTCTACTCCTCAGACAAAAGTAACTCAGCTTCTCCCCACTCACTGCCTTTACAAAGGCTTCACCTGTGGGGGCCACTGTGAGTAACCTTCCCTGCTGCCCCTCCTCCCCTTCTCCATGTCCTATGCTCTGTTACTGTAATGAGGCCTTTTAGCACCTGAGCCCTCCCCTACTGCCTTCTTTCCGTGTCTACACCTCTTTTAGGTTCTTCTGAGTTGATATATAGTCTTTGCATGAATTTGGAAATTGTGAAACAGCCCAGTCCCAGCTGCACTTAAATCAATGGCAGGGCACCAGTATCACCATAAATCCAAATTGTAGTTTGTATTTTAAGGGGAAGTAAAGTGAACCGTTTTTACTTGAATAACTTGAGCGAATTTGCCATTTATTTTGTATTTAGGATTGATCACATAAAGCGTGATAGATTGAAAATTTAGTGTTATATAACCTATTCATTGTTATTGACCTTAAAGTCCAGCTGGGTGGAAATCATGTGGGCCTGTAATTTCATTTGATCAAAATTCTTGATGAGAAGAATTGTTTTGATTGAAACAAGAAGCCATTACATGTAATTTTTTTGTCACAAGTAGACCCAGGACAGTAATTATATGTTAGATTATAATGCGTTTGAATTCTAAAGAATTTATCGGAGGAAAGACAGCTTTTGTATTCACTAAGTATTGTAGCTATGCCTGATAATTTTAGCATGCACTTTTATCCTGTTGAATATGCTAGCATTGTATTTTAGAAATTTACCTGAATTACTTCTGGCTAGTGTTCTGGCAGCAGACGTACTCTGGAGAAAAGTGAAAATTTACTTACAGGCTTCAACAGGATTTAGTTGATACATGCTTATAATGTGATCTTTTTGAATTTAGTATTCTTTAAAATATTAAATAGGATTATATGAAATAATTTTACAAATGCTTAGCACTATTAAAATGTAGATGTTGCTATTATTCTGTCATATATCACAAACTTTTATGGCTATTTTGGGAGTAATATTTTAGTTGCTACTGGGAGGATGCAAAAACAATATACTGCAGGAAACATGTAACCTAGGATTGTGTTTCTGAAAATGAGGTGTACTGCAGCACCTGGAGGTGCAGCATCTGGAGATATTAGGTACCAGGGGGTTTAAGAAACATGGTTACATCTCCCCGAAGGATCAGTTTTAATCAGAGATTAGGAGAAAATATGTGTTTAAATTTATACAAACGTCGAAGTCAAAATAAAATGTAGAGACAAATCTCTAAATTTAACGTTTTATTTGGAAATGGCAGAATTGCAATTCAGGGCATACACAAAGTATGTCTTTGGTATGTCTGAAGAACAAAGAAAAGGGTGGGGATTTTACAAAAAAAGAGAAATGTTACATATGGTTTTGAAAGAAAGTTCATTGACAGTAGTGAAGTTGTGAGAAGCTGGCAAGCTTTGACTGGTGGGTGATGGTGGTAGTTAAAATGACCTCCTGGAAGGTCATTTTAGTAGTTATTTGGTATAACTGGTCCTAGGCAGTTTCAGAAGCTTGGCTTGCAGAGAATCATGTTTTTGGAGCAATGCTATGTGCCCTGTGTGCTTTTGCCTCCTGACATCTCAACTCTGATGTGGTTGGACATCACAAGAATGACTCAATTTGTGTGATCAACTTTCACACAAACATGGTTGCATTGTAGAGTGAAATGAAAAACTCTTGTGAAATGTTCAGATACACTGCAATTTTAAATAAATTTTATGTGGCGGGATAGGCTTCTTAGGGTAAAGCCCCAGATTGGTAATAAAAAAAAATGGGTGTCTCCATTTTCTATTTTCAGAACAGGCAAGGGTACACAAGATTAGTTGATCTTGGCACTCATAGTGTCCTAAAGGGCCTCAGTCTGAACTAGTGCTTTTAGTAACTAGTGGCAGCTGATGGAGCTAATAGAATAGAAATTTTAATCTTTATCCCAAACCATGCTGGAGTTCTTTTTACCCCCCTCCATTGTTAGGGATGTTTTTGGCTGAACATTTTAAGAAGAACTGTTAGGAACTTAAAATATAGACAAGTGAAGTGATTGGAGAACAATTCCTTCAGAACAATTCCAGAGCCTTCAACAGAAAGTAATTCAGCAAATATATTTTTTACCTGACTACCTGTTTAGGGAATTGGTAAGCTGTACAGGGGGATTCAGAAAAGAAAAATACATCTAGTCCACAAAAAGAACCTAGGAGAGAAAGTAGAGATTAAAATTAGGCAAATCACTATAATAATAGATATTTAAATAGGACTTAATATTGTCACAAGCACTGTTCTAAGTGCTTATTCATTTGCTCTTGAAAATGCTATGATTTATATACAAATATTATTCCCATTTTACTGATGGGGAAACTGAAGCATAGTTCATTAATGTTAAGTGACTTGACTAGAGGCACCCAGCTAGTAAATGGCAGAGTTAGGATTTGAGTTGAGTGTGCTTGCCCTCCATCCTATGCTGTATAGAAAGATGAGTGCCACAAATAAAGTAAATAAAAGTACCACAAAAAAGGGCTGTGGAAATTCAGAGAAATGAGAAACAGGAAGTTACACTAAGCCTTGAAGGACAGAAATAGTGCACAGAGCAAGCACCAAAGGGAAACAATCGAACACTGGTTCTTAAAAGTTAAAATGGAGGTGAAATAAATAATTGATCAAATTGGAGATCTAGGTTTCAGCAAGGCTTCTTAGGAAAGAGAAAGATGAGTTGGAAGGGAAGGTATTAAGGAACTTGAAAAATGTTAGTTTGCGATACTAGGTGAGTCTGCATTAAGACACTTAAACAGTTAATAAAGGGCTCTCTATATACTTTTTCTCAAGTGAATGAATGAAGCAAATTTATGTTTTAGTAATAGCAACCAGATTGCATACACTAATTTGAAGTAGATTGTTCTTGTATATTATAGAAACCTGATATAGTGAGTTTAATTGCAGAATCATTTGATAGCAATATCTTTACAGTTTTATAGTTGCAAAGATCTTTACAGCTTTTCTTATATAAACCAAACTGGGCATTTGACCCTTTGCTGCTCTTCAATTTAGGGACTTTACCAGTCATATATAAAATGTCTTTTTGTAAAGGAAAGAGCCAGTGATTAGAAATAAGCTTCCCTTATTTTCCTTTTTTAGTTGCTTACTTAGTTTGGCTTTACTGTTTTGGTTTTGGCCATCTTTGCAAGATATCATAACAGTGCATTTCAAACCAGGGTCTCACTGAGGGCAAAGAGATTGATCTAAGAAATTAATTTACATGTATATGATAGTAGTTCCCAAACTACTGTCTCTTTGAGACTTGCTAATCAATGATAATAGCAGGTTTTTCAATTTAATGGACTTTTTTCTTTTTTTCTGAAGTTATATCCTTGTTAAATTTTTTGATACTAAAATGCCCCCTTCTATTTTTAATCCTTTTTTGACAAAATTAAAATATCAATCTATTGTCAGTCCCACCAGTTAAAAATTTTTTTTTACTTATCTGGGACTTAGTGACCTACACCTCTCACATTGGTTTCATATTTGCTGGAAGGCACCACGGAGACCCTGTATTTTTCTAATCAGGTTGAAGTGCAGATTTGAGAGACAACATATGTAAGCATTGATTTGTTTTTAATTTTGAAAAGATTCTTTTATTTTCTTGTTTATTAATGACTAGTTTCACCAAATTCATACTTACCTCAGATATGAAGGTGGTAGTAAGAAAGGAGGAACATATAACCAGACTTTGGTCTGCAAAATGCTATTCAGAATCAGATCGGCTATAGATCTATAAATATACCACTATACATGCAGTATAAGATTTTTTTAAATTAGGGAGGTTTATTTTTATAATTCAGATTGGGGAATCAATCAATGTCATAAGAAAGGCCTAGGCAAAGTTCTGTTGGAATTTAGGTGAGGGAGAGGTTACCATTTGTAAATGTAGGCCTAGACCTAGTTCATCTAAGCAAGATATTATTGAGTGCTATGTACCAAGCACTGTGCCAGGTGTAAGTACAAAGTAACTGAAATTTAGTCTTTTTCTATAAGGTTGTAGTGTATTGGGGAAGAAAAGTATGACTTGCCATTAAGTTAGAAAATATTTAATGTCAGAGGCCAAAATAGGATATAAAAAATAAATAATGTGAACCATAGTAGAACATAGGATAGGTTTAGCTGAGAGTTTGGCTACTCAGAGGCAAGGACAAAAGAAGGTTCGATGGAGAAAAACAAAACAGAAAAGCATTACCTAAATAGTTGGAGATAATGTCTGCATATGTCTGCTTGATGGTGAGTTTGTAAGCTAGACAAAGAAGTTGAAAATTTATTCTTCGTCTGTTAAATGTGGGTAATACTTAAACGTACAGTGAACATCATCCTAGTTTGCCTGAAACGGTCAAGGTTTATGCCTGTGGTCCTAGTAGCATGCCCAGTTTAGCATTTGTCTCAGTGTTTGTTTTTTAACTAAATATAAACTACCATTAATAGTTCTGTTAAAATGAGCCTCCTCAGTAGCTGCGATTACAGGAACCTGCCACTATGCCCAGCTAATTTTTTGTATTTTTAGTAGAGATGGGGTTTTGCCATATTGGCCAGGCTGGTCTCAAACTCCTGACCTCAAGTGATCCCCCCACCTCGGCCTCCCAAAGTGCTGGGATTACAGGCGCGAGCCACTGTGCCCGGCCTATTGAACATTTTTATAAGCAGGTACTCTACATTTTGATGGCATTTTGTTCAAAAACAGTTGGAAATTTTTATTTAAAACATTCCATGAATGGCCTGATCAAAAATTCAACTTTTGAAGCTCTTAGTAAATTATAATTATTGAATATAAGGCTTTTAAAATTTAATTCTGCACAAGATTTAATTTTGAAAATATATTTTTGATATTCAGATATATTGGAATATTGTGACTAGTACAAAGGTTTTGATGGAGTGCCTACTTTTAATTGGTTATTTTTTTTTTGTAGAAGAACAGAATGCAATTGAAGGAGCCTACAGTTTTGTAGCATCTAAATTTAGATAAATATTTAAAAGAATCAAATATTGCTGCTTATTTGTCAAGTTTTATCTTGTAAAAAATAAGGTATAAATGGAATGACAAAGAGTACTTGTGAAAATATTTGGGCTAAATACTTATATACAAACAAAAATTGGATAGTATCTTCCATTTGGAAAAATTTGTTCTGAGCTTACCAGGTACTTCATTATCTGTAGAGAAAGTATTTTCTCAGTTAATGTGAATTATGCAGAGTGTTGATTAAAAGTTCAACAGTTTTAAATTTGTTAACGAAATGCAATTTTAAACATTGCAGGCAATTTTATGAAGAGAATTTAAATATAAGGAATCAATACTGAAAAATTGCTTTCTTCTGAAAACTATGAGTAACACATTGTTAGAGACATATGCAGTTTAAGTAATTGATGATAGCACATGTATACAATAAATATTTCTGCTTATACTTTTTGTTTAACCTTCTGATAACTGATATAAAGAACTGTTTTTGCTTTAATGTTCCCATATTTACATATATATGTGTAAATTTGTATATATATATATATAATGTTAACTTGAGAAATAAGTTTATTTATTTTTATTTTTTATTTTTTGAGATGGAATCTCTCTCTGTTGCCCAGGCTGGAGTGCACTGGTGCCATCTCGGCTCACTGCAACTTCCAACTCCCAGGTTCAAGTGATTCTCCTGCCTCAGCCTTCCGAGTAGCTGGGATTACAGGTACCCGACCACCACGCCTGGCTAATTTTTGTATTTTTAGTAGAGACAGGGTTTCACCATATTGGCCAGGCTGGTCTTGAACTCCTGACCTCAGGTGATCCTCCCACCTCGGCCTCCCAAAGTGCTGGGATTATAGGCATGAGCCACTGCACCCAGCCAGAAATAAGTTTATTTTTGAAAATGGTTTTTGTATAAAATATTTTAGAGATTGACAACGTAGTAAAACCAATATTTTTGTCCACAAATAACATTTTAAATGTGTATATATTTATATACACATATATGTATATATGTATGTATGCATGCATGTATATATACATTCACATTTGTACATACATATACAGTCACATGTTGCTTAGTGGCAGGGTTACATTCTGAGAAATATACCATTAGACAATTTTGTTATTGTGTAAACATCATAGACTGTGCTTACAGAAACCTAGGGGGTCTAGTCTACTACACACCTATGCTATATGGTATAGTCTTTTGCTTCTAAGCTACAAACCTATACAGCATGTTACTGTACTGAATATTGTAGGTAATTATAACACAATAGTAAGTATTTATGTATCTAAACATATCTTAATATAGAAAAGATGCAGTAAAAATACCATATAAAACATGAATGGAGCCTGCAGTACTGAAGTTGACCTGGGTGAGTCAGTGAGTGAATGGTGAGTGAATGTGAAGCATTAGGACATTACTGTATACTACTGTAGACTTTATAAACACTATACACTTAGGCTACACTAAATTTATGTTTAAAGATGTTTTTCTTTCTTTAGTAATAAATTAACCTTAAGCTACTGGAACATTTTTTACTTTATAAACTTTCTTTTAAATTTTATTATTATTATATTTTAAATTTTAGGGTACATGTACACAACGTGCAGGTTTGTTACAAATTCTTTTTAACTTTTTGACTGTTTCATAATAACACTTTGCTTAAAACACATTGAACAGCTGTACAAGACTATATCCTTAGTCTAAGTTTTTTCTATTTTTAATTTATTAAAATTTTTCAAACGTTTTTATTAAAAATGAAAACACAAATACACATATTAATCTAGGCTCACATGGTTAGGGATCATCAATCTCATTGTCTTCACCTCTACATCTTGTTCCACAGGAAGGTCTTCAGGGCAATAACATGCATGGAGCTACCATCTCCTATGATAACAATGCCTTCTTCTGGAACACCTTCTGAAGGGCCTGCCTGAGGCTGTTCTAAAATTAACTATTTTTTTTTAATAAGCAGAAGGACTATGTGCTAAAATAAGTATAGTAATAATAAATACATAAACCAGTAACACAGTCTTTTATCATCATTATCAAGTATTATGGGCTATAGATAATTGTATGTGCTATACTTTTATACCACTTACAGTGAAGTAGGTTTATTTATACCAGGATCACCACAACATGTTAGTAATGTTTGCTACCATGTTACGACAACTAGGCAATCACTAGATGATAGGAAGGTTTCAGCATCATTATACTGTTATGGGACCACTGTTGTATAAGTGGTCTGTCCTTGACGGAACCATCGTTACGCAGTGTGTGATTTTTTTACTCCTTGAAACTTAACTGTAAGCGTTATAATAGTCTCAGTTCATTATCTACCCTTTTTCTTCTTGTCAGCAATTACATTTTAAAAGATTTATATTAAAAAGTTTGTTTTTTTGGTTCCATTTGAACTTTAAAGTAGTTTTTTCCAACTCTGTAAAGAAAGTCGGCGGTAGCTTGAGGGGGATAGCACTGAATGTATAAATTACTTTGGGCAGTATGACCATTTTCACATTATTGATTCTTCCTATCCAGGAGCTTGGAAGGTTCTTCCATTTGTTTGTGTCCTCTTTTATTTCGTTGAGCAGTGGTTTGTAGTTCTCCTTGAAGAGGTCCTTCACATCCCTTGTAAGTTGGATTCCTAGGTATTTTATTCTCTTTTTAGTAATTGTGAATGGGAGTTCACTCATGATTTGGCTCTCTGTTTGTCTATTATTGGTGTATAGGAATGCTTGTGATTTTTGCACATTGATTTTGTATCCTGAGACTTTGCTGAAGTTGCTTATCAGCTTAAGGAGATTTTGGGCTGAGACGATTGGGTTTTCAGCTGGAGGCATCACGCTGCCTGACCTCAAACTATACTACAAGGCTACAGTAACCAAAACAGCATAGTACTGGTACCAAAACAGATATATAGACCAATGGAACAGAACAGAAGCCTCAGAAATAACACCACACACATCTACAACCATCTGATCTTTGACAAACCTGACAAAAACAAGCAATGGGGAAAGGATTCCCTATTTAATAAATGGTGCTGGGAAAACTGGCTAGCCATATGTAGAAAGCTGAAACTGGATCCTTTCCTTACACTGTATACTAATATTAACTCAAGGTGGATTAAAGAATTAAATGTAAGACCTAACACCATAAAAACTCTAGAAGAACCTAGGCAATACCATTCAGGACATAGGCATGGGCAAAGACTTCATGACTAAAACACCAAAAGCAATGGCAACAAAAGCCAAAATAGACAAATGGGATCTAATTAAACTAAAGAGCTTCTGCACAGCAAAAGAAACTGTCAGCAGTGTAAAACAGGCAACCTACAGAATGGGAAAAAATTTTTGCTATCTACCCGTCAGACAAAGGGCTAATATCCAGAATCTACAAAGAACTTAAACAAATTTACAAGAAAAAAAAACAACCCCATCAAAAAGTGGGCAAAGGATATGAACAGACACTTCTAAAAGAAGACGTTTATGCACCCAACAGACACAACAGACATATGCAAAAATGCTTATCATTACTGGTCATCAGAGAAATGCAAATCAAAACCACAATGGGATACCATCTCATGCCAGTTAGAATGGTGATCATTAAAAAGTCAGGAGACAACAGAGTCTGGGGAGGATGTGGAGAAATAGGAACACTTTTACACTGTTGGTGGGAGTGTAAATTAGTTCAACCATTGTGGAAGACAGTGTGGCGATTCCTCAAGGATCTAGAACTAGAAATACCATTTGACCCAGCAATCCCATTACTGGGCATATACCCAAAGGATTATAAATCATTCTATGATAAAGACACATGCACACGTATGTTTATTGTGGCACTATTCACAATAGCAAAGACTTGGAACCAACCCAAATGTCCATCAATGGTAGACTGAATTAAGAAAATGTGGCACATATACACCATGGAATACTATGCAGCCATAGAAAAGGATGAATTTATGTCCTTTGCGGGGACCTGGATGAAGCTGGAAACCATCATTCTCAGCAAACTATCACAAGGACAGAAAACCAAACACCACATGTTCTCATTCATAGGTGGGAGTTGAACAATGAGAACACATGGACAAAGGATAGGGAACATCACACACTGGGGCCTGTTGGTGGGCGGGGGGCTGGGGGAGGGATAGCATTAGGAGAAATACCTAATGTAAATGATGAGTTGATGGGTGCAGGAAACCAACATGGCACGTGTATAGCTACGTAACAAACCTGCATGTTGTGCATATGTACCCTAGAACTTAAAGTATTAAAAAAAGAAGTTTGTTTTAGGGATGTAGAGGTTTTATGGTATTTATAATATTGCTTATTAAAATTCAAATCCATGTCTAGCTACCTGTAAGACTATCAGGAATGTTTGTGTGGAAATCTTACGAAGTTTGTACCTATAAAATTAGTTGCCAAATTGCATCTAAAAACCAGTTTAGTTATTTTGATGAAAATATGTTAAATGTTTCAAGACTATTTGTAAATTTTAGAGATAGTACTAATGGAACTATGAGTATATTCATTTTTTTTCTTCTTGAACTAGTGATAATGCAAATAGCTTGAAATATACTTATGTGTTGGAGTGTCATTTGCATTCTGAAATATCTTCCACTGTGTGACTCGGGAAATGGCTGTTCGTGTTTATGATTACAGCTTGTAGCTGTGGAACAGTGTTTTCTGTGTGAAAATACTGCAAGAATTCGGTCTCCGAGAACTTATTTTAATTAGGCTCTGTATTCTAAATATTAGATGAATTTTTGCTTTATTGGTTTAACGTTTTTTTCCTTAATACCTTTTTTTGGTAATTCATACTTATGTGAAAACTTTTTCTTTTGCATTATAAGGGAAGTTACTTAAAAGCCATAACATTCTAACATATATCATTACTATTCCTAACACATCAGGTCGACCTGCTTTAGTTTTGTGGAAAGCCAATGTAAGTACTTTTTCTAGGCTAGTTACTGTCTTGAATGTTAATAAGTCTACCAGCTAACAATGTTAGATTTTCATGTTTTAAATTAATATTAATTTCAGTGTCACGAAACCATAAAATACTGTTTTTCATTTGCTAATTATTGGGCTATTAATTTTCTTTAAATTTTCCACTTTTCATCAAATTTAAGATATTATTATAAGAGCTTAACAGTCTGGAGCAGTTTCTTTTGCATGACACAATGCCCCTAAGAAAACAAACTGATGAAGAAACTAAAAAGCAAAATAAAACAAAAGAAGCAAAAAAGAACAAGTTAATACTGACAGTATATGGTGTTTATATGACACTCATAGTTTTTAATTCCTAATACAGTTTCAATATCTCTTGCATACTCCATGTAAAATGTACATGTTAGTGTTTTTTTAAACATTTCTTTGGTAACTTTATTGCATTTGTGTCTTTTTAATTTTTTTAAAAAAGAAAGTATTTCTTTAGCATTTTCCTTTAAACCTTTCCTTACTAGAAGTAATAGCAAGGAGCAGAAATGCCCTGATGCGTTTCTGTAATTAGCATGGTTGTTTTTCCCTCTCCCTCTACTCCTTTTTTTCTCCTTTCTCTCCTTTCTCTTCCCTTCTCCCTCCCTTCTCTCCTTTAACCCCTTTATACTTTTTTGTTTTTAATTTTTTTCTTTCTTAGCAAAGAATAAAGTAACAAATATTTATATTACTACTATCTAGAATAGATAACTTGTGGAGGATTCTATGAAGAGGTTATGACCTACCAATTTTCTTTTAAGTACAAAATGATTTTGAATCAATACCTATTATAATGACAACTAATATTGTTCATTCAAACTTTCATTGAAAGAGATGATTGTACATATTTCTTTAAAAATTCATTTTCCAGAATAACGTAGTAATTACTGTTTAAAAAAGATGAACCTCATTCCCACTTTCTAGCTCACTCCCAATCCTCTAGTAATTTAAGTTTCAAGACAAAAATTAGAGAAACACATATTTTAGTTTGGTTGAGTGTTGTAGTACATAAGTCGAAGAATGTAAAACAACGTTGAAAGCTAAGTAGGTGCATGCTATGGAAGTCATATCCCTAAATGATAATTAGAGCTGTGTTTTAAAGCAATTACTTATGTAGTAAAATATATTGGAGAACATTTGCATAAAATCAAAGAGACCATTTACAATGTAATTATGACAGTTGACTACATACATAATACTGCAGTAGTCAGTGTGGAATGCTTTTAGCAATGACTACTAGGGATTCATTGGCAAGTCCTTTTAATTATAATTTATTTTTGTCATATATAAAGTTCTGGTTAGTTTCCCCTACTACTTAGGGAATATAGTCTCTTATTACGGTTGTCTTATTTTTATATTAGCCTAAGCAAACCACAAGAAGCAACTATTAAGGAGTACATATATCCTGACATAGCCAAATAAAAATGACCTTTGGATCATTACCTATTTTCATTTTATTGTAGCAGTGTAGTAGACATTTGTGTTCTTTGGCATACCAGTATCTGAGGCCCCTGTTTATGTGTGGTGTATCTGTCTACCACCTTAGGAGTTTTGGTGTTAGGTACAGGCTGCCTTCCTCTATAGAAGCCGAAAAAACAAACAAACAAACAACAACAACAAAAAACAAATAAACAAGCCTGGAGACTTGTTTCCCAGTCTGTTTTGCAGCTAGTGATACATGATCTAAGCTCAATTTTGGTGTTCTTGCCTTGTACATTGAATCAGGAGTTAGTGACCCAAGAAAACAGGGACTGCAGTGCATCTGTTTTTGTAGTAGGCAGTTGCAGGAGCTGCAGCAGGATTGAATTTTCAGGGACAGAGATGCCAGGGGAAGTGCTGTCCAGGAGTGGAAATGGTATAGTCAGCAGTATCCAGTATTCACCAGTGCCAGCAGTGGTATCCTTATGAGAATAATTGTTGCATGATTTTGGCCATATTCCCAAAACTGCCTAGACTTCCTTGTTCTTGCCATTTGACAAGCATGCCTTCTCAGCAGATCTGTTTGGCTATCCATTTTTCTTTTAATAAATTTATTTTCTGTTTGAATCAGCCAAATATACTTTCTATTGCTTATAAGAATTCTGACTGATGCACTCTTCTTCTTTAGTGCAAATAATTGAGAGTGACTATATTCGGGACAATATTTAGTTTATGTGGACATATCATTCTATTAATAACAGTGATAGCCTTAATAATAATCTAAAATGTTCTGTTTAAGAAATGACCTTTGACATATATGTCAGAATCCTTTTTCATTTTCACCGCAGTCTAGTGATTGCTAGGCTGATGTCGATATTGGTCTTAAATACCTAATTAATTTTTTTCTTAGGCACATAGGGATGGGCATTAAGTAGTATGTAGAATTTGGTGATAGCCATGAATGTCCTGGATAAGAGAAAATCAGCCTGGAATAAAATCACACAATGCATACATATATGAAGACTATATTTACTTTGATTTCTTAATTTTACTGAGCTCTATAACATGGAAACTGCTTATACAATAAACATTTATTTTTGTTATCTCTTTTTAGTCTGGATTGCGTAATATTGCCAGCTCTGTTATACTTTTTATATTTCTGAACTTTGAAAAGTCACTTTACTTTCTGTGCATAAGCTTTGTGAGTTTTAAAATGATGGAGAATAAACTGATTTCTCAGGTCCTCCTTAGTCTTAGCAAATAAGTCGGTAAAATGAAATTTTTTTTCATTTTTCTTTGTAAAGTTTGAATGGCAGCAGTACACTTATGATGCTGCATGCAGCAGAATATATAGGGTTCTTTGCTCAATGAGTTCAAATAGTCAATTAAGACATAGCTAATGAGTCAGCTGGACTCTAGCGAGTCCACCCTGAACGTGCCTGATCTCAGAAACTAAGTAGGGTTGAGCCTGGTTAGTTCTTGCATGGGGGAACAAAGTTAATGAGAAGTATATTAAAGAACATATTCAATAAGTAGCAAAGTCAGGGGTATTCAGTAATTGTCATTGGTAAAGTTTATGAAAATCACTGGGAAAAATGAACAACTTCATATATTCTCAGTTGACATACTTGAAAGGCAGTTTTGGCTAAGAACTCCAATATCAGACACCCTGGATTTCAATTTTGCCTCTACCATTTATAAGCAGTGTGATCTTGGGGAAGTTACTTAACCTGTCTTTGCCTTAGTTTCCTCATCAGTAAAGTGGGTACAGAAACAGAACCTACCTTACAGAGTTGCCATGGAATTAAATGAGCTTATACATGTAAAGTGTCTGAAGTGTCTAGAATGGTGGAAGATATATGCTATTTAGTATTAGCAATTATTATTTTGATATTAGATAGTATACAGTTAAGACACAGTGTCATTTTACTTATTCTTACATAAATCTTGAATTTGAGACCATAGTGTTATGCATGTCTAAAAGTTATGTAAATCTGGTAATACTGTCATGAATATTTTATAGTGTTCCGCTGTTATTAATAGAACAAATATCTTATAACCATTAAATACTGCACTATCATTGGTCTTCAGTGCTGTATTTGGCTCAAGGATTATAGATACAAAGCACATCCAGAACTACTAGGTTTTTTTTTTTTTTTTAAAGAAGATGCTGTTGTCTCAATTTTTGTCTTTCCCCCAAGTTCATATGTTAACATCCTGACTCCCAAGGTGATGATATTAGGAGGGGATGGCTCTGGAAGGTGATTGGGTCACAGGGGCAGTGTCTTCGTGATTCAGATTCATACCCTTGTGAAAGAGGCTACGTAGAGTCAGCTCACCCCTTTTACCAAATGAGGATACAGCAAAAAAATGTCATCTGTAAACCAGAAAGTGGGCATTCACCAGATATCAAATCTGTTGGTGCCTTGATCTTGGACTTCCTAGCCTCTAGAACTGTGAGGAATAAATTTCTCTTCTTGGTAAGCTCCCTGGCTTTATAGTATTTTGTTATAGCAGCCTGAACATATTAAGACATAGATATGAAATTTCAAGTACATATGGCTGATATATTAACGTAACTGATGTTGCTCTAGCAATACACTTCACATTTCCTTAGATCCCAAATAGATTTCAACTTCCTCTCTGTTCTCTGTAGATTTCAGTAGAATGTTGAAATACAAAGAAAAAGAAGAATGTTGACAGAGAATATTGCTATCAGATAAGAATGTTTCAGGGATATATTCTTTCCAATGCATTTTTTTTTGCTTATCTTAGCATTAGAATTCAGATTTATTTTATACTTAATTATTCATCATTGACATGCAGTATTTTTTATTAGATATTGGATTTCCTAAGAAAATTTTGTGAAACTTCATACTATAAATACTTTAAGAATATTTTTATAGTTTCTTTTCAGAAAAAATGCAATGATACTACACTTTTAGATTTTAACTCTAAATCTTCAATTAAGCTAAACTGGCAGTTGTCTTAAAGGCCATTTCTTTGATCACTATATATTTTATTCTGCTGCTTTTTTCAGGTCCAGGGTTCTGATCAAGCAGGAAAGAAGAAAGCAAAAGGTAAAGAAAAAGTGTTTTTATTTTTGTCAGCCTTATGAGACTAATAACCTTGAAGTGCTTTTCTACCACTAATACATTCACCTAAGTGAAACTGGAGGCCATCTTCCTTTGGTCTTCTACATCCTTGTTGATAGCTTGATTAGCCACGTATTTTGCTCAGTCAGAGACTTAAAGATCATTGTTGATTCCTGCTGTCCTTCTAATTCCAAAATGTATCCCAGATCTGACCACTTCTCACTACCTGAGTATTGGTATTCTAATTTAAATAATCATTTATTACCTAGATAAATGATGTACAGTAATGGTGTCATAACCTGTGTACTACTTCCATTTATTTTGTCTTTATTTTTTATTACACTGATTGCATTCCATAGTAAGGCTGAGCATGTATATACCTTACAACTGAGCAAAGAAACCCTTGTACATGTGCCCTTTTGGATATGTACAAGATTTGTTTGGGTCATTGTTATGCTGAAATAGCAAACAGAGAGAGAGAGATGGAGAAAGAAGACAGGCAAGGGGAAGGAAGGAGAGGGAAAGAGAACTGTCCCAACATCCATTAGCAGTAGAATAGTAGAATGGTTAAACAAATTATGGCATATGCAAGTAATAGCATAGCAGTGCAAATGTATAAGCTACATATAATTAATGCAGATGAATCTCAAATACATAATGTTGAGCAAAAGAAGAAACTCACAGAATATAAGCAGTAAGATTCCTTTATATAAAGTTCTAAAACAGAAAAAAAAACCCAATAATGTTAATATGATCAAAGGTAGTAAAATTTCAATAAAAACAATGGAGTGATATTATAAAAGCAGGATAGTGGCAGTCTCTGGATTCTTTTCCTTCCCAGCTATCCCCTTTTATATTGCATCCCATTCATTTCTCAGTCATCTTGCTAAAGTCAACAATGAACTTTATGCTGTTCAATTGAAAGGATATTTGTCAGTCCGATTTATTTTATTACGTTGTCATCTCCTACACAAAGCAAATTCTTTCTGATCTTTCTTTGGTACATTCTCCAGATTTTATTTCTATCTCTCTGGTTGTTCCTTTTTAATGACTGTTTTCAAGTTAAAATTTGATTACTTAGTTTCTGAAAGTTTTCTAGTTCTTTTCAAATTGTTTTCTAGTTGTTTTTACCAAGTGAGACTTGACAAAAAAATTGAGCTTAGTCTTGTCAAGTTAATCAGTTAGTTACATACTTCTGTTCTTTCTTGGAACAGATATTAGAGGCTATTATGATGGCTGGATAATATGGGACAAACTTCTTCAACATGTTTCCTGGAATAAAGGCTTAGTCCCTTTGACAGTCTTTGTATTGTTCTTCCTTATTCCTGGAACCTTATATTCCTACCCTCTTTGGATAGCTCTGACTCATCCATCTATCTTAGAACTCATTTCCAAAGAAGTCTTCCATGTCCTCCTCCCTTCCCTGTACCCACCCTATCCCCAAACAATAATTTCCATACCTTTCCTAGGATTTGATACCATCCCCAATCACACTCAGTTGCATTTATTTGTGTCATCATCTCCCTCACTATGGTCTTATCCATCACAAAGTACAGTGCCTTTGTACTTTGTACAGATGAACTAACAACTTCTTAATTCCAGGACACAATCAATTATAAGATCTAGCATTGACTGAGTTGTTGTTTCAAGGTGGAAAACTATTTACATCCTGAAGATCCTGTTATTTCATTGCTTAACCATAGTATGGTCTTTAAAAATACATTTTAGTCTAATTTGGAGTTCCAGATCACTCAAATGAAATATGAACAAATACCTTTTATCTGTTATTTATTTTGTAAAACAAGACATTTACTTTTTTGTGTGTGATCATTGGCAAGTCTGTTATAGTTCTTACAAGATTTTTACAAACTTAAAAGTTATAATTAACAATATTCTGAAATGTTAATGTGAAAGAGCCTCAACTTCTTGAAAATAAATATGATATGTAACCTCTTCAAATTATGACCTCTTGCACTAAATATTTTGCCATCTTGGCTTTTTCTCATTTCTGACAATTTCGCATTTATATTTACATTCATAGCATTATATTATGAGTTATTTAATGGAAGAGAAGATGTTTTCACAACCTAGCACATAATAGTTGCTTGATAAATAAATATTAGTTAATTTTTATTTAAATGAATTAATGATGTAACCTGAAAGAAAAAGAATGGCAATAAGAAAGAATAATAACAGTTCAAACAGAAAGAAAATAAAAACTGGATAAAGTGATAATTATGTGCAAGTCTTGTTAAAAAAACAAACATCTGGGAATCATGGAGGGATAACAAATAAACGAAATTGGCTTTGGTTGCAGATTAATTTGCACATAGCTTTTTTTTTCTTCATTTCTGTTGACTTTTAATGGCACTCAGCTGTGCATATTTTTAAGGTTTTCTATGTCTGCAGAATAGCATACTTTGTAGAAAAACAAGAACAAGATTTTAGCCTGTCAGAATTGTTCTGTTACCAGATTTTTTTAACTTTCTATATAGAGATAATTTCTAATCTTTTGATTTCAGAGAATAGCTTTATAGCATTCTGTTTTAAAGGTTATGCTTAAGGAAGATGATAAAAGGCTGTGAAATTTAGTCTTTAGGCAAACTGCAAGTTATGATTAATTGTAATGTATTTATAAACATATAAAGATGTCACAAAATATAAAAGTATCAAGTCAATGACTTAATAACATGATTGCTTTTTTATTATTTATAATTCTGTCTAAAACCGCATATTTGCTGCATTGTTTTTAATTTTTAATTATTTTAGGAATATTTTGAAAAACACAGGTTAAAATCAAAAATGAAATCACTGGGAGTTTTATCTCCTGTCAAAAATTCTGCTGTCAGCTTAGACATTCTTAACCTATATATGGTAAATCAGATATCTTGCAAGAAGAAAATTCCTGGTAAGTCATTCCAATTGCATTCTGTTTTGAACTTGATGTGATCATAATAATGTTTAGTCTTCTAATTAGTTTGTAATTTTTGAGCTCAAAGCATGTGGAAAATTAATTTTAAAATTTGGTTGCTCTCTTAAATTAGATGCCTAGTTAATATCTGCTTAAAACGTTTTGTTGCTTAATCCAATTTTTATTTTTATTTTGTGTATGTGTTATATAAAATTAATTTATTAGGTGTCACTAAACTTATTATAGTACAGTTGTTACATTATTCTATACAGGCAGGTAGTTACCAAAGTTTAGCTAGAGAGCAGGGAATAAATGTTAATACATATCAACAAATTAACTATTCTTTACTATTTAAAGGGTATGTCTGAAAGGAAGATCTGCAAAGATTTTTGCTTCAATGACTAGTTTCCTATGTCATCACTTGAATTATTTATTACACTTTCCTGGGATGTTAATCATAGAAGTCTAATACTGCAAAATAAAGTCCATTTTGTCATATATTTTGATACTTCAAGTAAATAAAAAGCTTAATTAGAGTATATTTTTCCTCTTTTAGAGGAACTTGTGTCTGATATTTAATTTTTAAAACAACTGCTAAAAATGAGAGCATAAAAATAAGACAATTTATCAGGAAGGGATAGAAATTGATCAGAGTATTGTTAATATTTCCTCATTTCCTTTCTCCGTCATTTTTTTTCTCCCTCCACAGATAACAGTTTACACAAGTAAATTTAGTTATACTTTAGAAAGAATAAATACATTGTTCATGGATTTTGAGAATAAAACTTATTGTTGTAAATCTTTTTGATGTATTTACCTTTATTCCCAGTCGTAGGGGAATAAAAATATATTTCCTCATCCATTGCTAGGTTTATGGCTAAACCCTCAATAACAAAAGACAGATTAACAGGAGAAAAACATACAGATTTATTTAGTAAGTTTTATGTGACACAAGAGCCTTGATAAGAAATTTAAGATCTTAAGATTGGAAGAAATGGCTAAACTTGTGTATTTTTCTTGCCAGGTTTGATGAAAAAGTGGATGGTCCTCAAGAAGTATGATTGGATTTTTAAAAGAATGATCTAATAGTAATAAACTAAGGGGATCTTAGCAAGGCCTCTTTGTTCAGATTCTTCTTTGTGACCCTGCGTCTTCAGAGATAGGGATATTATTTTCTTCCAAGTATAACCAGAGCACTTCTCGAATGAGGGTTTTATGACCTGCTTCAGGGGAAAGCTGAGAGTAACCTTCCTGCTTCTGCTGTTTTCTTAAATAGCAAGATGACTTATTTTGGGATAATGGCCTGAACTCCTGCACTTTCTTTTCATTTATTTCTTCAGCATATTTTTATTGGGTACCCACTGTAAGTACTCTACTGGGTGCTGAGGATAAAACAGAAAGCAAGCTTTACTAATCAGGACTCATGGCTGCAAATGACAGAAATTCAAAACAGTTATCTTTTTACTCCTTTAACAGGAAGAGTGATGGTGCAGTGGGCCTCAGAGATGACTTGAAACAGGGACTTGAATACTATCAAGATTCTTTTTCACTTCAGTCATTAACTTTATTCTCTCAGACTGTCTTCATCATTGAGGCTCAAAACATGGCCTTAAGAAACTAATATTACTCACCTTCTCTAGTTTTGCCACCAAGGAAATACTGAGAGTTGTTTCTCTGGTCCCACATTTTAAAATTCCACTGTAAGAATATTTCCTTGTGCTACTGGTACCAATCTCACAGTGAAAAAATTTTGCTTATAACTAGCAGAATGGGATACGATTATTGGTTCACCTTTAGTCAGATGGCTACTGCCAAATCAATTATTTTATCCAGAGAGACAAGACTTTTATTTTGTTTTGTTTTTAAAGACAGGGTTTCACTGTGTTGCCCAAGCTGGTCTTGAACTCTTGGCCTCAAGCCATCCTCCAACTGCAGCCTCCTTAGTAACTGGGATTACAGGCATGAGCCACTATGCCTGGCTTGAGGCAGAGTTTTATAAGAAGATATAAAATCTACACTATAACTATGTATATAGTTTGGGTGGGTGTATCACAAAAATAGAGTAGGTGAAAGTACTGACCAGAGAAAGGGAAAATATATATAGTACTGTGGGAATATATAACATAGTAACTAATCTAGTCTGGAGATCATAGAAATCTTGGTGGAAGAAAAAGTAGAACTAAATTAATAGGGCAGCTATAATGAGGAATATATAAGATGATGAATATGTTTTAAAGTCTCTGATAGTTGTTTATATTGTAATGATTTATTTTAGCACTGATAGAATGTAAATGTTTTAGTAAAATTTCTTAGATATATGTTTATGTAATGAACATGATTTATTAAACAGTACTTTTACAATTTTTTATTCTTATTTTAAAATTATAATTATATATTTTTTATTATAGAAACTGTGAGAAAACCAACCCATGTGAACATGAATAGAGACATAAAAATGCCCCTAAGAAAGCATAATTTAGAACTTACAATGTCGCCTCACTGTGTACCTTCTAAACTC
Organism: Homo sapiens; assembly: GCF_000001405.40. NCBI lineage: Eukaryota > Metazoa > Chordata > Mammalia > Primates > Hominidae > Homo > Homo sapiens. Next base: position 39,646,439 of record NC_000012.12, read on the forward strand.
TGCCTTGATGATACAGAAACCAAGTAGGTTTTAGCTAGGATTTATATTATTAGGTGTTTAAACTGGTTATTAACAACACTTTTACTCACTCGAAAATGTATAAAATACTTACCTTCTACCCCCAGTTTTTGTTTGTTTGGCTGTTAACAGTATTATGCAATGATTAAGACCTTCATCAAATGATCCAGATTTTGTACACTTTGTTTGACTTACCTTATCATAAAAATGTCTGTATCTAGTATTAATATAATTTTTATAAAACTTAGTAATATTATGACCCTGTAGTGATTTACTTAGGTTTCTATATGTTTTGTGTAGAACAGTATGAATTTTAAATATAGGAAAGGACAGTCGATTTTATTTCAATTTATATTTTTAACCTAAATTTTTCTTTTCATTAGTGTAAACTGTCAAAGACTAAGTAGCAAGGAAGATCTTGGCCCAGTCCAGGTGAGATTTTTAAAAAAATTCTATAGGTTATTTCAGCAATTGTGATATGCTACCTAATGATCTAAATGTCTGAATACTGGAGAAAATTATTTTAAAGAAAATTTTGAGTCTTTAATTCTTTTAAAAGCTTTCCAGGTGAGAAATCTATGCCTTAAGAATATTTTAATTGATTGCTTATGAGAATCTCTTTGGACTGCTGGTAATGTGACTAGGCCTATGTTTGCATAACATTTGATTCTGCTTGTTACTGATGAGCTGCCAAGGACAGTTCACTTAGGGATTCTTACTTTGGGTTCACGTGATTATTGAGCAATTCATCTGTTCAAACATAGTAACCAGATTACTTTATATCAAATTGTGATGTCCAACCCTCACGTGGATCCCAAGATGATTTCTCTTTCAAAGTATAGCAAATAATTTTCTTAGCAAATAAAATTTTAATCAATTAGAAAATGCATAGATTATAATTAAAGCTTGAAACTTTAACATCTAATGTCATATTGTTAGCTATCATTTTTTTCCTTTGAATTGCCAGAGTTAAGCTAGATCAGAAAGATAATGGCAATGATACTAAAATCCCTTAGAAATCTTATCACCTGGATTATGGGTTAATGAAACTCAGATTTCCTGTCTTTAGAAGGTAGCCTACAGGAATGGAGCTGGAGGATGGAGAGAAGCAGGAGTAGGGAAGGCAGAGGGAAGGGTGCTCTTCAGTATAGCCTTCACTGGTAACCACTCTCTTCCTAGTAAGTTCTGTCAATTACTGATGGGTTGCCTTGCCTTAGGACATTTTCTTTTGTAACCCCTGCCCTTTTCACTTATTTTAATTTCACTATTTTGACTTTCCTCTTCTCTAGTTTATATATTTTGGTAATGTAAATGATTTTATCTTCTTTCCTATAGTCACAAGGCATGGACTCATATAGTATGCTTCACCCTCAGTTCAGCAAAATAGAGAACTGCAGTTTCACTCCATCATCTTTTTCAGTGGAGTTACCTTCTAACAGACATATTTCAAAACTAAATTTCACATCTGGAATAGCACCTACTCCTCAGAAACTTGCATATGAAAAAAAGCAGAATGACCAGGTACCTTTGAATCATTAGTTCTTAGCATTTTATATAATTATATTTTCATGAAACTCTTTTTTTCTTTTTATAGATTTAAAATATTTACATTTTGAATTGCTATACATATAAACAAATTAGGAGATAAATTAAGGTTCATTCCCTTTACATCAAAAACTTAATTCTTTGCACTGTAGAAGATTGTGAATCCCAGAACTGGAGTGTTTTTTAAAAAAAATCTTGGAATGTATCATTCTCTTAGAAAACCATTGATAGTAGAATTGAAAGTAGTTCAGTGTGTTATATAGTAGTTGAAGTTTATAATCACTGTAATTGATTAGTTGGTGATGTCATGATGACCCAATATGCATGATATAGAAAGTGTCCTGTGAATAGCAATATACAGTTTCAGAGATGTCGTAGTAGTCTCTTAAAGTGATGGCTTGATAATTTTTATAATTTGAAAGATGACAAGTTTTTATTTTAAGTTTTTCAATTAACACTATACAAATATATAGAGATGTAGTGCTAAAATGTTGTTCAATCATTGTGTGCTCTAAAGCTAAAAATATAAAATATATAAATATTAAGATTCTAAAATACATCAGTCATAGAGCATACCAGGAAATCTACTAAAAATGAAATTTAATTAAATGTTACTATACTAATGTCTAATGGTAATGAGGAGAATGCTTATACAAACACTATGTCTTGTTAATGGGAATACTTAGTTTTGAATTTATCTTATTTTTAGCATGCAGTGGTTTTATGACATATTTATATATTATTTATAAATCAGTTTATAATTAATTTATAGTTTTAAATTTTAGAAATTATATTATAGCTATATATTATAGCATATCAGTTATATATATGCCATATGATAGTTATATATAATTCCATTTTATTAAAATTTTTATTAAAGACTTCCCAGATAAGAGAAAATGAAGTATTACATTCCTGTGACCCATGCTAGCCTTGTTATAAAGGCCCAATAATTTTTGAATGATGCAATGAAAGACATTTTCAATTACCCATTCAGTTTATATTTCGTAAGACAAAAACCTACATTCTAGATCAGCTTATAACTCATCCTTGCTCTATTAAATAGTTTAAGGATAGAGGATAAAACATCTGTGTAATCTCTATTTAACTTTCTTGTCTGTACATATTATAGACTGCAGGTTAATGATGAGCTCCAGAGAGGTAAATAATTTTATGCTTAACATGGTAAAAGACTGAAAAATAGATAATGTCCCTTTTCAATCATAGTGTCACATCATGAAATACTAGGGAAGTATTTAATAGCGTACTTGGAGGAATTTCAAAAAAAGTGAAAATGATTAAAATGAAATTATAAAATACAAAAGAAAATGAGTTGAAAAACAAGTTAGAACAAAAAGTGACTTGGGGTTTCCTGATCCTTAGTTAAGTAGTATTGTCGAATATATAATATTATATTCTCTTCTCTTTTGATTTGTTTCTTATTTTAAGGGATAAAGTTTTGCACCTCTGTCACTCTCTCTTAGATGTATTAGTTAGCTGAGACATTAGTATAAGCTCTCTCTGACTTTAGTCTATTTTTTTTCCCCAAAGACTTTCAGTGTCTCTTTTTGACTCTCCTTTTTTTTTTTTTTCTGACAATTCTGTCATTGGTTGTGTTTGGACTTCTCATTTCTATGTTTCATGAGTTATAAATCAAATGTATGACAGATATAAATTATTGTTGAATAGATTAGTGTTGGGCCAATATAATAAGTTACATTTATAGGGTACTTTCCACATTAACAAATTGATTATCTTCTTTTCACAATAGTCTTTTCACTCTCCCTTTTGAACTGAATAATATTGATATTCAGAAAAATTAAAGTAGCAATCTAAAGTTACTCAGTAAATGGAACAACTGAGACAAGTATAGCTCTTTTATTGGGACAAATTATTGTTTTCTGTCAGAGAAATTTAACTTACAATTATTCAAGATCTTGGTGTCCTGGGTGTTTTTTTGTTTTTTTATTTTTTATTTTTAACTTGGAGAAAATGGTTAGCTTACCATCATATCAACTCTGTTATTTTAACAATTATTCAGATACTGGTATTGATTTTTTTGTTAGGAAACTATTTATTTTGTTTTCAATAAGTAGTAAAATTACTTTATTTTGGACTATTTTTACAATTTTAAAATATAAATGTAGTTCATTTACATGACATTTTATGGTAAATAATTTAAATTGTATATATGTACATTTACTATTTTGGCAGTTTCTTCAAATTTTTTTTTTCAGCGCAGTACTGTTAACTGTTCTGATTCCTTGCTTTCCAAATTAAATAAAAGTCAAGATGTTTTCAGTCCATCACATAAAACTACACGATTTGGGACATTATTTGAAAGATTAAACAGGTAAGCAAAGATGCTGAAGGAAATAAAGAAGCTGTAGCATTCTGTACTTTCACTTAGAAATTTGATTTTAATGGACACAAATATTTTTAGTTAAAAATATAAACAGTCCTAAGTAATACTTCTAGAAAAAAATTCAAAAAGTAAAATGTATTATTTAATTAAAATAGTGTAAGTAATTATTTTATAACATGAACATCTACCTTTCATTTATTTAAGTTTATTTTTTATTTTTTGAAAAGAAGTCTCGCTCTTTCACCCAGGCTGGAGTGCAGTGGTACAATTATCTTAGCTCGCTGCAACCTCTGCCTCCTGAGTTCAAGTGATTCTCGTGCCTTAGCACCCAAGAGGCTGGGATTACAGGTGTGTGCCACCACAGCCAATTGGCTAATTTTTGAATTTTTAGTAGAGATGGGGTTTCACCTTGTTGGCCAGGCTGGTCTCAATCTTCTGGCCTCAAGTGATCTGCCCACCTTAGCCTCCCAGAGTCATTTATTTAGTTTTAAAATTATTTTGGACAGAGGTATTTTGCACATTTTACAATCTCCATGAATTACTGTTTTCTTTTTCTGCAAAAATAGTGATTTCTTTTTCACATTTGTGGTAGTTGAATAGAATCCCACTTTCATTTTCTAGATGTCTATATATACAGTACAGTAGTGCCACCTTATCCACAGGGGATATGTTCCAAAACCCCCAGTGGAATCCTGAAATTGCAGACAGTGCCAAACCCTATATATGCTATGTTTTTTTGTATGCATACATCTATGGTAAAGTTTAATTTATGTTAGGGACAGTAATAGATTAACAACAATAACTAATAATAGAATAGAACAATTATAATGATATACTGTTAAAAGTTATAAGAATGTAGTCTCTTGGTCTCAAAGTATCTTACTATATATACTGTACTTACCTATTTTTGGACTGCGGTTGACTGTGGGTTATAGACCGACCATGGAAAGCAGAAACTGCAGAAAGTGAAACTGTGGGTAATAGGGAATTCTGTGAATCCTAGTTTGTTGTTTTAAAATCTATTAAGCTTGTAAAACCAGTTTGACCCACTCCTGGTGATGTGATGAGAAACCTTGACTCTGTCATACTATCCTAGTTTCCTTATTTTGGTAAATGGCACCACTATTCACTGAGTTGCTAAAGCCAAAATAAAAGTTGTACTTGATTCCTTCCTTTCCTTCAACTCTCAATGTCCATTTCACCAAAAAAGTTGTCAATTCTGTATTTTAATAAAGTTTAAAATTATCTACTTACATTTCTGTTTGTATGGGTTCCATCCCAGTCTATGACATCATTCTTTCTTGCCTGGAGAGTTGTAATGCCAGGTAACAGTTCTTTTTTGTTCTGAGATACATTTTTTAAAACCAGTTTTATTAAATGACATAAAATAAACTAAACTTATTTAACTATGATAATGAATTTATGCACTTTGATAAATTTTGACAATGTCAAAGATAATGACACATGAACACATTTATTATCCCCAGTAGTTTATTTGGGTACCTTGGTAATCCCTTCTCCCTATTGCTTCACATCCCTTGTACCTATCCCAAAGCAACCACTGATCTGCTTTGTGTTGCTCTGTATTAGCCCATATTTTCTATAATTTTAAATAAGACATCATATAGTGTGTTCTTTTTTGTTGTTTGACCTCTTTCACTCAGTGTAATTATTTTGAAATTCATCTATGTTGGTTGTTGCCCGTATCTATAGTTCATTCCTTTTTATTGCAGGGTAGTATTTCATTGTATGGACATAGCACAACGTATTCATTTACCTGTTCATGGGCATTTGGTGTTTCCCCCGAGTTTTTGCCTATTCCAAATATACCTGCTGTGACAGTTCATGTATAAGTCTTTGTTTTGACATATACTTCATTTCTCCTGGGTGCAAGTGGAATGACTGGATCATTTGTTAGGTGTATGTTTAAGTTTAAAAAAACTACCGAACTATTTTCCAGTGGTATTTGTATCATTTTATATTCCCATTAACAATGTATGAACATTGCAGCGCATCCTTGTCAACACTTGGTACAGTCAGTCTTTTAAAATTTAACCCATTCTAGTCAGTGTGTAGTAGTATCTCATGTTTTTAATTTGCATTTCTCTAATGACTAATGATTTTGGCATCTTTTCATGTGCATATTAGCCATGTGTGACTCTGGTGAAATGTTTACCCTTTTCATTTTATTACTGGTACCTTTTTGAAGTGCAAAAGGTTTAATTTGATGAAGTCCGACATTAATTTTTTCATTTATTGTGCTTATGGTGTCAAAACCAACAAATCTTTGCTTAACCCAAGGTCATGAAGATTTTCTTCTGTTTTATACTTTTAGATCTTACATGTAGGTCTATGATTCATTTTGAGTTAATTTTTATGTGTTGGGTGTGGTAAGGGTCTGAATCCATTATTTACATTTGTGGAAAAGAATATTTTTTCCTTGCTTAATTGCTTTGGCACCTTTGTCAGAAATCAATTGACTGTAAATATAAGGATTTTTTTCTGGAATCTCAGTTCTGTTCTGTTGATTATGTTAGTACCAAACTGTCTTGGTTACTGTAGCTTTATTGTTAGTTTTGAGATCAAAGAAGTGTATTAGTCCAACATTTTTTTTTCAAAAGTGTTTTGGCTCTTCTTAATCCTTTGCAATTCCATATAAATTTTAGGATCTGATGGTCAGTTTCTGCAGCACAATCAAAAACCAGAAACCAAATCTATTTGGATTTTAAGAGATTATGTTGAATTTATAGATTAATTTTGATAGAATTGCCATCTTAACAATAGTGACTTTGACAGTCCACAAGCATAAAATGTTTTTCTTCTTTCATCTTCTTTAATTTCTTCAATAATATATTATGGTTTTCAGGCTATAAGCCTTGTTTCTTTCTTCCTAGTATTTTATTCTTTTTATGCTTTCGTAAATGGAATTACTTTCCCAATTTCATTTTTGGATTATTCCTCGGTAGTGTATAGAAATACGATTAATTTTTGTATATGAATCTTACATCTTTTGACTTTGACAATTTTATTATTCTAGTAATAGTTGAGTAGGGGTTTTTTTAAATCATGTTGGAATACATTGTCCATAGTAAGTATATTTTTACCTCTCTCTTTTCAATCTGGATGTCTTCTTCTTCTTCTTCTTCTTCTTCTTCTTCTTCTTCTTCTTCTTTTTCTTCTTCTTCTTCTTCTTTCTTCTTCTTCTTTTTCTTCCTCTTCTTCTTCCTCTTCTTCTTCTTTTTTTTTTGCATTGTGAATGTGATCTTAGCCAAAAGGCCAGGGAGCAATTTTTACTTCCCTTTCTTGCTTAACTTTGCTAACTAGAGCCTCCAGTACAATGCTGAATAGCAGTGGCAAGAGCAGATGTGCCTATTGTTCTCAGTTTTAGGGAAAAAGCATTCAGTCTTTCACCAGTAAGTATGATGTTAGCTATAGGTGTTTTTGTAAGTGTCCTTTAACAGGTTGTGAAAGTTCTCTTCTGTTTCTAGAGCATTGAGACTTTTTATCATGAATTTTGTCAAGTGCTCCTTCCATGTCTCTTGAAATTATGATTTTTTTAAAGTATGATGTTAGCTATAGGTGTTTTTGTAAGTGTCCTTTATCAGGTTGTGAAAGTTCTCTTCTGTTTCTAGAGCATTGAGAGTTTTTATCATGAGTTTTGTCAAGTGCTCCTTCCATGTGTCTTGAAATTATGATGTTGTTTTTTTTAAGTATGATGTTAGCTATAGGTGTTTTTGTAAGTGTCCTTTATCAGGTTGTGAAAGTTCTCTTCTGTTTCTAGAGCATTGAGAGTTTTTATCATGAATTTTGTCAAGTGCTCCTTCCATGTCTCTTGAAATTATGATGTTGTTTTTTTTTCCTTTAACCTGTTAATATATAACAATTTATTTTCAGGTGTCAAACCACCTTGTATTGATGGGATGAAAACTGCTTGGTGTAGGCCGGGCGTGGTGGCTCACGCCTGTAATCCCAGCACTTTGGGAGGCCAAGGTGGGCGGATCACGAGGTCAGGAGATCGAGATCATCCTGACTAACACAGTGAAACCCCGTCTCTACTAAAAATACAAAAAAATTAGTCCGGTGTGGTGGCGGGCGCCTGTAGTCCCAGCTACTCGGGAGCCTGAGGCAGGAGAATGGTGTGAACCCGGCAGGCGGAGCTTGCAGTGAGCCGAGATCGTGCCAGTGCACTCCAGCCTGGGAGACAAAGTGAGACTCTGTCTTAAAAAAAAAAAAAACTGCTTGGTGTATAATCCTCTCCATAAGTTGTTGGATTTGGTTTGCTAATATTTTATTGATGGTTTTTGTGTCTATATTTATGAAGAATATTTGTCTGAATTTTTTATTTCTTCGTGATTGTTCGGCTTTGGTATCAGGGTAATACTGGCCTCATAGAAAAAGTTGAAAGTGTTTCCCCCTGTTTTATGTAAGAATTTGTGGAGGGTTGGTATTATTTCTTTTCTAAGTTTTTCTTAGAATTCACCAGTGAAGGCATCTGCACATGGACTTTTTTTTAGTGAGAACACTTAATTACTAATTCATTTTCTTGTTATGGTCTGTTCAGATTGTCTAGTTTGTTCTTGAGTCAATTGTGGTAATTTGTGTTTTACTAGGAATTTGTCCATTTCATCTAAGTTGCATGATTTGTTGGCATGAAGTTGTTTATAGTATACCCTTGAAATCCTTTTAGTTTCTGTAAGATTGGTGTTTATATCACTTCTTTAATTCTAGATATGCATTCTCTCTCTTTTTTTCATGTTTAGTGTAGCTGAAGATTTTTCAATTTTGTAGGTCTTTTTAAACAACTGAGTTTTGGTTTAATCAATTTTCTCAATTGTTTTTCTATTTTCCATTTTTTAAGTTCTACACTAATGTTTATAATTTTCTTTTTCTGCTTGCCTTGGATTTAGGTTGCCCGTCTTTTTCTAGTTTCTTAAAGTGGTAGCTTAACCTGCTGATTTTATATCTTTCTCTTGTAGTACTGCTTAGATGTCAACTAATGATTGGTCAGAAGTTGTGTTTAAACAGCTAGACCTAATAAGGCTTCCTCTTGTATGCAACACCTCACATTCAGCCAAGGATGAGTAGATACCTGAGGCCCTCTGGTCTCTCCTGAGTGTACACACAGCCTTACACATGTATGCATCCTCCTAGATGACCTCAGGTCTGGGAGTTTATCAAAGCTCATTATGACTATTTGTTTTCCTGATTTCTCTATGAAATTTCTTAATGGTTTTTGCCTGCTTTCAAATATTACAGTCTCAGGGAGCTGCAGTGTTGGACTTCCCTGATGGTTTGCCACTGAAAATATGATTGTTTTTGATGCCCTTCCATTACGGGGCTCTCCAACCTTGGTAGAGCTACCACTCATGGATCTAGGGGTGGAGGGAAGGGATAGCTCCAGGCTATAACTGTATGGACACCTACTATTTCTACTAAGGCTCAGTAGTTTTCTTGAAGTACTGCTTCTCAGTTTATCGTGTGCCTTTGGTTACTTCACACATTCTGAAATGGTTGTTTTTGCACATTTTGTCTGGTTTTAACATTGCATTTTGGGGGAGAGTATTTGCCAAATTGCTCACTCTATCATCCCAGAAGGTCCTGCCCCACATCAGGTTTTTTTTTTCTTCTTTTTCTAATGTTAAACCAACCTTGTATTCCTGGGATAAATCCCACCTGTCACAATATGTTATTCTTGTTATGTATTCTTGACTTTGATTTGGTAAAATTTTGTTAGGAAATCTTGTGTCAGTCTTCATGAGGAATATTATTTTGTAGGTTTCTTTTCTTGTAATATCTTAGTCTGGTTTTGACCAGCATAATGTCAGTGTCATAGAATGAGCTGGGAAGTATTCCATCATGTTTAATTTTCTGGAAGAGTTTGTATAGAAAGCATATACAGTTATGTGCTGCATAACAATGTTTCAGTCAACAATGAATGGCATATATGATGGTGGTCCCATAATATTATAATGGAGCTGAAAAATTCCTACCATCTAGTGACATCGTAGCTATTGTAATATAGTAGCACAGCTCATTCCTCATGTGTTTGTGTGATGCTAGTATTAACAAACCTGCCAGTCATATGAAAGCATAGCATATACAATTATGTATAATACATAATAATTGATAATGATAATAAATGACTTGTTAATGGTTTATGTATTTATTATACTATTTATTGTTATTTTAGAGTGTGCTCTTTCTACTTATTAGAAAAAAAGTTAATTGTAAAACAGGCTCAGGCAGGGCCTTTCAGGAGGTATTCCAGAAGAAGGCATTGTTATCATAAGAAATGACAGTTCCCTGTGAATCACTGCCCCTGAAGACCTTCCAGTGGGACAAGATGGGGAAGTGAAAGACAGTGAGATTGATGATCCTGACCCTGTGTGGACCTAGGCTAATGTATGTTTATGTCCTAGTTTTTAACAAAAAAGGTTAAAAGTAAGGAAAACATTTAAAAAAATTTAAAAATAGAAAAAAGCTTATAGAATAAGGCTGTAAAGAAAAATTTTTTTACAGCTGTACAATGTATTTGTTTTAAGCTAAGTTATTACAATAGAGTCAAAAAGTTTAAAAAATTAAAACATTTATAAAGCTACAGTAAGATAAGGTTAATTTATTGATGAAAGAAATTTTTAAAAATAAATTTAGTGAAGCGTAAGTGTAGAGTGTTTATAGTCTACAGTAGTGTATAGTAATGTTCTAGGCCTTCACATTCACTCCCCACTCACTGACTTACCCAAAACAACTTTCATCCTGCAAGCTCCATTCATGCTACGTGTCCTTTGCAGATGTGCCTTTAAAAAAATTTTTATGCTGTATTTTTTTCCTATACCTTTTCTATGTTTAGATACACAAATATCATTGTGTTACACTTGCCTACAATATTGTGCTATAGGCAATTGTACTGTAGGCAATACTGTACAGGTTTGTAGCCTAGGAGCAATAGGCCATACTATATAGCCTCGGTGTGTAGTAGGCTGTCCCATCTAGGTTTGTGTAAGTACACCCTATGATGTTCCCACAATGACAAAATTGCCTAATGACACATTTATCAAAATGTATTCTTGTTGTAAAGTGATACATGATTGTAATTTCTAACTTAAATCATAAAGTTAATCAGTGAAGCCATGTGAGTACTGGTGTTCTCTTTTGTGGGAAGTATTTTTATTACAGTTTTAAGTTTTTACTGAACACAGGGCTAGTCAATCAGATTATTTGTTCTTGAGTGAGCTTTGGTAGTTTGTGTCTTACAAAGAATGTATTTATTTTGTCTACCTTGTAGAATTTATTGACATAAAGTTATTCATAACTTTCTCTTATTGTTTGAAATCTTTACCATCTGTAGCACTTTCTCTCTCATTAATGAGATTATTTTTCTCTTATTCTCTATTTTTTTCTGACTTCTGATACAGCAATATCAATTTTATTTATGTTCTTACAGAATTATCTTTTAGTTTCACAAGTCTTTTATTTTTATATTTTTAAAAATTGCATTGAATTCTGCTTTTCTATTTATTATTTTCTTTTGTCTGCTTATTTTGCATTTAATTTCCTCTGCGTTTTCTAGTTTTTTTAAGAGGTAAGGTCATTGGTTTGAAACCATTCTTCTTTACTAATATAGGCATTTTAGGGCTATAAATTCTCTACTAACTGCTGTTTTTGCTGTATCTTACAAATTTTGAAATATTATGTTTTCATTTTTATTCACATCAAAATACTTTTTTTTTTTGAGACAGTGTCTAGCTCTGTTGCGCAGACTGGAGTGCAGTGGTGTGATGTTGGCTCACTGCAACCTCTGCCTCCCGGGTTCAAGTGATTCTCCTGCCTCAGCCTCTTAAGTAGCTGGGATTACAGGTGCCTCCCACCACGCCTGGCTAAGTTTTAAAAATATTTTTAGTAGAGTTGGGGTTTCACCATGTTGGCCAGACTGGTCTCGAACTCCTGACCTCAAGTGATCCACCTGCCTCAGCCTCCCAAAGTGCTGGGATTATAGGCTTGAGACACCATGCCCAGCCTGGATCAAAATACATTCTAATCTTTCTTTGGATTTCTGTTTCAATCCATGAGTTATTTAGAAATTTCGTATTTGGTTCCCAGAAACTAAGACTTTCCCATTATCTTTATGAATTAATTCCTTTGTGGACAAGGAACATACTTTGTATGATTTGATCCTTCCAAATTTATTCAGACTGGTATAGTGGCTAAGAATATGGTTTACATTTAATATGACAATGTATAGGTTTGGATTTAAGTCTGTCCTCTTGCTGTTTGCATTTTGTCCATCCCTTTGCCTCTTTTTCTACTTTTATTTAAGTATTTTTATGACTTCTTTTCATCTCTTTGTTTATTAGCTATAATTCTGTTTTATTATTGATTGCTTTAGACTTTATCAGATATATATTAATGTATCACAGATTATCTTCAAGTTATAGTATCAAGTATAGTATAAGAATCTTACAGTAGTATACTTTTTATTTCTTCTCTCCTTTGGCCTTTGTGTTATATTCGTACATTTATTTATGTGTATGTTATAAACCCAATAATGCATTGTTGTTTTGTTTTAAAGAAAGCTAAATAAGAAAATATGTTTCTTATATTTAAGCACGTAGTTGTTATTTTTAGTGGTCTTCATTATTTTGTGTAGATATAGATTTCCATCTGGTGTCATTTTCTGTTTGAAAGACTTAACATTTCTTCTATTGTAGATCTGCTGGTGATTAATGCTCTAATCTTTGTATATTTGCAAATTTCTGTTTTTGAAAGATGTCTTTTGACTTGGTGTAGTTTCCAACTAGAAGTTTGCTGTCATTATCTTAATATCTGTATATATAATATAGTTTTTATCTTTGTTTTTGTGATTTTTCTGTCATGATTTTTTAAACATTGATTTCTATTCTTTGATTAAGATATTAATTTTCTTTCTATTTCTTATGTTTGGGTTTTCTTGATCTTGGATTTGTGGACTTATTTTTATCAAAAATTTTTATCCATTATTTCTTCAAATATTTTTTCTGACTCCTTTCCTTCTCCTTGGGGGACTCAAATTGGTAAATTAGTCTACTTGAAATCTCAGTTTACTGGTGCTCTGTTTTTTCCAGTCTTTTTTCTCTCATTGTTTTATTTTATGTAGATTATATTACTATATCTTCCACGTCCATAATTGTATCTTCCGTGTGGTCTTATCTGCTGGTAATCCCATCCAGTGTAATTTTCATCTCTAGAACTTTGATTTACCTTTTCTTTTTTATCTTCCATGTATCTATTAGGCATGTTCAGTATTTCCTCTGTCTCCTTGAATACAGGAAATATAGTTATGATAACTTTTAATGTACTTGTCTACGAATTCCATTATTTTTGTCATTTCTTGATCTGTTTTTAATAATTGATTTTGCTTCTCATTATAGATCTTCTCTTTTTTGCATTCCTGGTAATTTTGTTGGATTCTATACATTATGAATTTTTATTTTTATGGCTGCTGGACATTTTTATTTTCCTGCACATCATCCTTGGAAACACTATGGTACTTGGAAACACTATGGTACTTGGAAACCCTATGATCTTATTGAGGCTTGCTTTTAAATTTTGTCAAGCAGGACCAATAAGCCTTCAGTTTGTAGTTAATTTTGCTCCACTGCTGAGGCAATACCCTTCTGAATACTTTCTTGATCCCCCTTGAATTATGAAATTTTCCACTCTAGAGGGTGGAATCAAAATTTTCCCCCCTAGTGAGCTCCTGAGATTGTTCTATTTTTCTTACCTTGGGTGGTTCTTTTCACAGCCTTCGGCAATTACTTCACATGCATGTGCCGGTTAGTATTTAGTTGAACACTTGAGAACACTCTGGATCTCTGGAGGTCTTACTCTCTGAAACACTCTCCTTTATGGTACTCTAACTTGTGAACTCTATCCTCTGCAATCTCCCTGGATCCCCAGGTGTTTCCTCAACAAAGGGAGCCTCAGTTGGGCTCTGATTAGGTTCTCTTTCCTTGTTCTGTGGCTTGAATGTTCTCTCCAGACAATAACCTAGGAACAATCACAGAGTTCTCCTCATTTGTTTTCTCTCTCTCAGGGATCATTATCTTGCTCACCTGGTCTCCTCTGACTGAAAACTGTTGTCCATATATTTTGTTCTTTTTTTTTAAATTTTTTATTGATACATATTATTTAATATTGTACATATTACTGGGGTACATGTGGTATGTTGTTGCATGCATGGAATGTGTAATAATCAGGTCAGGGTATTTAGGATATCCATCACCACAACCATTGATAATTTCTATGTGTTGAGAACATTTTAAGTCCTCACCTCTAGCTATTTTGAAATGTACAACACATTTTTGTTAACTACAGCACCCTACTCTACTATCAAATATTAGCACTTGTTCATTCTATCTATTATATGTTTGTACCCATTAAACCTCCCTTCACAGCCCCTCCCTTCCCTCTGCACACATATCTACATCCTTCCCAGCCTCTGGTAACTATCATTCTACTCTACCCACGAGAGATTAACTTTTTTAGCTCCCACATGTGAGTGAGTACATGTGCTATTTGTCTTTCTGTGTCTGGCTTATTTCACTTCCAGTTCCACCCATGTTGCTGCAAATGACACGATTTCATTCTTTTTTAATGGATGGATAGTATTCTGTTTTGTAAATTTACCACATTTTGTTATCCGTTCATCTACTGAAGTATGCTTAGGTTGATTCCATATCTTTGCTATTGTGAATAGTGCTGTAATAAACATGGGGGTGCATATATTGTTTTGATAGACTGTTTTCCTTTTATTTGGATAAATAGCCAGTAATGAGGTTGCTGGATCATACTGCCATTCTACTTTTAGTTTTTTGAGATGTCTCCACATTCTTTTCCGTAATGACAGTACTAATTTACATTCTCACCAACAGTGTATGAGAGTTCTCTTTTCTCCATGTCCTTGCTGTTTGTTATTTTTTTGTTTTTTGATAATAGCCATTCTAACTGAAATAAGATGATACCTTATCGTGATTTTGATTTGCATTTCCCTAATGACTAGTGACGTTGAGCATTTTTTTTTAAATATACCTTTTGGGCATTTGTATGTCTTCTTTTGAGAAGTGTCTATATCCTTTGCCCACTTTTTAACGGGTTGTTTGTTTTTTTCCTGTTGAGTCATTTGAGTTTCTTGTATATTCTGGATATTAGTCCTTTGTCAGATTAATAATTTGCAAATATTTTCTTTCATTCAACAGGTTGTCTCTTCACTCTGATGATTGTTTCCTTTACTGTGAAGAAGCTTTTTAGTTTAATATAGTCCCACTTATCTATTTTTTTCTTCTTGTCTCTGCTTTTGAAGTCTAAGTCATAAAATCTTTGCCTAGACCAATGTCCTGGAGTGTTTCTTCTGTATTTTCTTCTAATAGTTTTATTGTTTCAAGCTATACATTTAAGTCTTTAATATTTTGAGTTGATTTTTGTATATGGTGAGAAGTGGTTGTCTAGTTTAATTCTTCCACATATGGATTTCTAGTTTACCCAGCACCATTTATTGAAGGTGTCCTTTCCCCAAGATATATTTGTGACACCTTTGTCAACAATCAGTTGGCTGTAAATATATGGGTTTATTTCTGGGTTCTCATTCTGTTTCATTGGTCCATGTGCCTGTTTTTGTATCAATATCATGCTGTTTGGTTACTATAGCCTTGTAATATATTTTGAAGTTGGGTAGTGTGATGCCTCCACCTTTGTTCTTTTTGCTCAGGATTGCTTTGGCTACTTTGGCTGTTTATTGGGTTCCATACAAATTTTAGGATTGTTTTTCGATGTCTGTGAAAAATTTATTGACAGAGATTACATTGACTCTGTAGATTGCTTTGGGTAGTATGATTATTTTAACAATACTCATTATTCCAATCCAGGAGCATTGGATGTCTTTCCATTTGTATCTTCATCAATTTATTTTATCAAATATTTGTAGTTTCCTTTGTAGAGGCCTTTCACCTCCTTAGTTAAATTTATTCCTAGATATTTTATTTTTATATGTTGTAGGTATATAATGGGATTGCTTTCTTGATTTGTTTTTCAGATAGTTCATTATTGATGTATACATATTCTACTGATGTTTGTTGACTTTCTGTCCTGTAACTTTACTGAATTTATCAAATCTAAGAGCTTTTTTTTTTGGTGGAGTCTAGGTTTTTCTAAATATAAGATCATGTCATCTGCAAAGAGGGACAATTTGACTTTCCCTTTTCCAGTTTGGATGCCTTTTGTTTCTTTCTCTTGCCTCATTGCTCTGGCTAGGACCTCCAATACCATGTTGAATAGGAGTGGTGAAAGAGCATCTTTGTCTTGTTCTAGTTCTTAAAAGAAAGGCTTTCAGGTTTTTCCCATTCAGTATGATACCTGTGGGCTTGTCATAGATGACCTTTATTATATTCAGATATGTTCCTTCTGTGCTTAGTTTGTTGAATGTTTTTATCATGAATGGGTGTTGAATTTTATTGCATGCTTTTCCTGAATTAATTGGTAGGATAATATGGTTTTTGTCCTTCATTCTGTTGATGTTTTATATCACATTGATTGATTTGCATATGTTGAACCATTCTTATATCCCTAGGATAATCCACTTGATGATCATGTATTATCTTTTTTTAAGTACTTTTGGATTTGGTTTGCTAGTGTATTGTTGAGGATTTTTGTGTCTATTCATCAGGAATATTGGCCTATAATTTTCTTTTTGTTGTATCCTTGCCTGGTTTTGATATCAGAGTAATCCGGCTTCATATAATGAGTTAGGAAGATTTTCTCCTCTTCAATATTTTGTGTAGTTGATCTGTCTTATGCTGAGAGTGTGGCATTGAAGTCTCCAACTCTTATTGTATTGGTGTCTCTCTCTATTTAGATCTAATAGTATTTGCTTTATGAATCTTGTTGCTCTAGTGTTGGGTGCATATATATATATTTAGAAATGTTGTATCCTCCTGCTGAATTGATCCTTTTACCATTATATAATGACCTTTGGTTTCTTTGAAGTGTTTTTGACTTAAAGCCTGCTCACTTTTGGTTTCCTTTTGTGTGGAATATCTTTTTACATCCCTTTACTTTCAGTCTATATATGTCTTAAGAGATGAATTGAGTTTCTTGTGGGTAGCATATAGTTGTGTTATGGTTTCTTATTCATGCAGTGGATCCATATCTTTTAATGGGAAATTTTAATCAGTTTACATTCAAGGTTACTCTTGATATGTGAGGACTGATTTCTGTCATGTTATCAATTGTCTTCTGGTTGTATTTCTTTTGTTATTTCTCTCTTACTATATATATTAATGGTTTGATTTTCTGGTGTGGTAACATTTGAGTCGTTTTTCTTCCTTATTTGTATCTTTGCTCTACCAGTTAGTTTTATACTTTCATGCATTTTCGTTATAGTAGATATCATCCCTTCACTTTGAGGTGAAAAAGTCACCAAGCAATTCTTGTAGGGCAGATCTAGTGGTGATGAATCTCCTGCTTTCTTTTTCTTTTCTTTTCTTTTTTGGCTTGGAAATGTTTTTATTTCTCTTTCATTTTTGAAGGATAGCCTTTCTGGGTATTCCTGGCTACCAGAATATATCATCCCTTTCTCTCCTGGCCTATAAGATTTCTGTTAAAAATTCATTGTTAGTCTAATAAGAATTCACTTACATATGACAACTTCTCTCTTGTTTTTAGAATTATTTGTCTTTGAGTTTTTTTTTTTTAAACTTTAAGTTTTAGGGTACATGTGCACAATGTGCAGGTTAGTTACATATGTATACATATGCCATGTTGGTGTGCTGCACCCATTAACTCGTCATTTAACATTAGGTATTTCTCCTAATGCTATCCCTATACCCTCCCCCCACCCCACAACAGGCCCTGGTGTGTGATGTTCCCCTTCCTGTGTCCATGTGTTCTCATTGTTCAATTCCCACCTATGAGTGAGAACATGTGGTGTTTGGTTTATTGTCCTTGCGCTAGTTTGCTGAGAATGATGGTTTCCAGCTTCATCCATGTCCCTACAAAGGACATGAACTCATCCTTTTTTATGGCTGCATAGTATTCCATGGTGTATATGTGCCACATTTTCTTGATCCAGTCTATCATTGTTGGACATTTGGGTTGGTTCCACGTCTTTGCTATTGTGAATAGTGCCACAATAAACATACGTGTGCATGTGTTTTTATAGCAGCATGATTTATAATCCTTTGGGTATATACCCAGTAATGGGATTGCTGGGTCAAATGGTATTTCTAGTTCTAGATCCCTGAGGAATCACCACACCATCTTCCACAATGGTTGAACTAGTTTACAGTCCCACCAACAGTATAAAAGTGTTCCTATTTCTCCATATCCTCTCCAGCATCTGTTGTTTCCTGGCTTTTTAATAATCGCCATTCTAACTGGTGTGAGATGGTATCTCATTGTGGTTTTGATTTGCATTTCTCTGATGGACAGTGATGATGAGCATTTTTTCATGTGTCTGTTGGCTGCATAAATGTCTTCTTTTGAGAAGTGTCTGTTCATATCCTTTGCCCCCTTTTTGATGCGGTTGTTTTTTTCTTGTAAATTTTTTGGAGTTCATTGTAGATTCTGGATATTAGCCATTTGTCAGATGGATAGATTGCAAAAATTTTCTCCCATTCTGTAGGTTGCCTGTTCATTCTGATCATAGTTTCTTTTGCTGTGCAGAAGCTCTTTAGTTTAATTAGATCCCATTTGTCAATTTTGGCTTTTGTTGCCATTGCTTTTGGTGTTTTAGACATGAAGTCCTTGCCCATGCCTATGTCCTGAATGGTATTGCCTAGGTTTTCTTCTAGGGTTTTTATGGTTTTAGGTCTAACATGTAAGTCTTTAATCCATCTTGAATTAGTTTTTGTATAAGGTGTAAGGAAGGGATCCAGTTTCAGCTTTCTACATATGGCTAGCCAGTTTTCCCCGCATCATTTATTAAATAGGGAATCGTTTCCCCATTTCTTGTTTTTGTCAGGTTTGTCAAAGATCAGATGGTTGTAGATGTGTGGCATTATTTCTGAGGGCTCTGTTCTGTTCCATTGTTCTATATCTCTGTTTTGGTACCAGTACCATGCTGTTTTGTTTACTGTAGCCTTGTAGTATAGTTTGAAGTCAGGTAGCGTGATGCCTCCAGCTTTGTTCTTTTGGCTTAGGATTGACTTGGCGATGCGGGCTCTTTTTTGGTTCCATATGAACTTTAAAGTAGTTTTTTCCAATTCTGTGAAGAAAGTCATTGGTAGCTTGATGGGGATGGCATTGAATCTATAAATTACCTTGGGCAGTATGGCCATTTTCACGATATTGATTCTTCCTACCCATGAGCATGGAATGTTCTTCCATTTGTTTGTATCCTCTTTTATTTCATTGAGCAGTGGTTTGTAGTTCTCCTTGAAGAGTTCCTTCACATCCCTTGTAAGTTGGATTCCTAGGTATTTTATTCTCTTGGAAGCAATTGTGAATGGGAGTTCACTCATGATTTGGCTCTGTTTGTCTGTTATTGGTGTATAAGAATGCTTGTGATTTTTGCACATTGATTTTGTATCCTGAGACTTTGCTGAAGTTGCCTATCAGCTTAAGGAGATTTTGAGCTGAGACGATGGGGTTTTCTAGGTATACAATCATGTCATCTGCAAACAATTTAACTTCCTCTTTTCCTACTTGATTATCCTTTATTTCCTTCTCCTGCCTAATTGCCCTGGCCAGAACTTCCAATACTATGTTGAATAGGAGTGGTGAGAGAGGGCATCCCTGTCTTGTGCCAGGTTTTGAAGGGAATGCTTTCAGTTTTTGCCCTTTCAGTATGATATTGGCTGTGGGTTTGTCATAAATAGCTCTTATTATTTTGAAATATGTCCCATCAATACCTAATTTATTGAGAGCTTTTAGCATGAAGGGTTGTTGAATTTTGTCAAAGGCCTTTTCTGCATCTATTGAGATAATCATGTGGCTTTTGTTGTTGGTTCTGTTTATATGCTGGATTACGTTTATTGATTTGCATATGTTGAACCAGCCTTGCACCCCAGGGATGAAGCCCACTTGATCATGGTGGATAAGCTTTTTGATATGCTGCTGGATTCAGTTTGCCAGTATTTTATTGAGGACTTTTGCATCGATGTTCATCAGGAATATTGGTCTAAAGTTCTCTTTTTTTGTTGTGTCTCTGCCCGGCTTTGGTATCAGGATGATGCTAGCCTCATAAAATGAGTTAGGGAGGATTCCCTCTTTTTCTACTGATTGGAATAGTTTCAGAAGAAATGGTACCAGCTCCTCCTTGTACCTTTGGTAGAATTCGGCTGTGAATCCATCTGGTCCTGGACTTGTTTTGGTTGGTAAGCTATTAATTATTGCCTCAATTTCAGAGCCTGTTATTGGTCTATTCAGAGATTCAACTTCTTCCTGGTTTAGTCTTGGGAGAGTGTATGTGTCGAGGAATTTATCCTTTTCTTCTAGATTTTCTAGTTTATTTGCGTAGAGGTGTTTATAGTATTCTCTGATGGTAGTTTGTATTTCTGTGGGATTGGTAGTGATATCCCCTTTATCATTTTTTATTGCATCTATTTGATTCTTCTCTCTTTTCTTCTTTATTAGTCTTGCTAGCGGTCCATCAGTTTTGTTGATCTTTTCAAAAAACCAGCTCCTGGATTCATTAATTTTTTGAAGGGTTTTTTGTGTCTCTATTTCCTTCAGTTCTGCTCTGATCTTACTTATTTCTTGCCTTCTGCTAGCTTTTGAATGTGTTTGCTCTTGCTTCTCTAGTTCTTTTAATTGTGGTGTTAGGGTGTCAATTTTAGATCTTTCCTGCTTTCTCTTGTGGGCATTTAGTGCTAGAAATTTCCCTCTATACACTGCTTTGAATGTGTCCCAGAGATTCTGGTATGTTGTGTCTTTGTTCTCATTGGTTTCAAAGAATATCTTTATTTCTGCCTTCATTTCTTTATGTACCCAGTAGTCATTCAGGAGCAGGTTTTTCAGTTTCCATGTAGTTTAGCGGTTTTGAGTGAGTTTCTTAATCCTGAATTCTAGTTTGATTGCACTGTGGTCTGAGAGACAGTTTGTTATAATTTCTGTTCTTTTACATTTGCTGAGGAGTGCTTTACTTCCAACTATGTGGTCAATTTTGGAATAAGTGCGGTGTCGTGCTGAGAAGAATGTATATTCTGTTGATTTGGGGTGGAGAGTTCTGTAGATGTCTGTTAGGTCTGCTTGGTGCAGAGCTGAGTTCAATTCCTGGATATCTTGTTAACTTTCTGTCTCATTGATCTGTCTAATGTTGACAGTGGGGTGTTAAAGTCTCCCATTATTAATGTGTGGGAGTCTAAGTCTCTTTCTAGGTCTCTAATGACTTGCTTTGTGAATCTGGGCGCTCCTGTATTGGGTGCATATATATTTAGGATAGTTAGCTCTTCTTGTTGAATTGATTCCTTTACCATTATGTAATGGCCTTCTTTGTCTCTTTTGATCTTTGTTTGTTCAAAGTCTGTTTTATCAGAGACTAGGATTGCAACCCCTGCCTTTTTTTGTTTTCCATTTGCTTGGTAGATCTTCCTCCATCCCTTTATTTTGGGCCTATGTGTGTCTCTGCGGGTGAGATGGGTCTCCTGAATACAGCACACTGATGGGTCTTAACTCTTTATCCAATTTTCCACTCTGTGTCTTTTAATTGGAGTATTTAGCCCATTTACATTTAAGGTTAATATTGTTATGTGTGAATTTGATCCTTTCATTATGATGTTAGCTTGTTATTTTGCTTGTTAGTTGATGCAGTTTCTTCCTAGTCTCGATGGTCTTTACAATTAGGCATGTTTTTGCAGTGGCTGGTACCAGTTGTTCCTTTCCATGTTTATTGCTTCCTTCAGGAGCTCTTTTAGGGCAGGCCTGGTGGTGACAAAATCTCTCAGCATTTGCTTGTCTGTAAAGGATTTGATTTCTCCTTCACTTATGAAGCTTAGTTTGGCTGGATATGAAATTCTGGGTTGAAAATTCTTTTCTTTAAGAATGTTGAATATTGGCCCCCACTCTCTTCTGGCTTGTAGAGTTTCTGCCGAGAGATCAGCTCTTAGTCTGATGGGCTTCCCGTTGTGGGTAACCCAACCTTTCTCTCTGGCTGCCCTTAACATTTTTTCCTTCATTTCAACTTTGGTGAATCTGACAATTATGTGTCTTGGAGTTGCTCTTCTCGAGGAGTATCTTTGTGGTGTTCTCTGTTAAATGTTGGCCTGCCTTGCTAGACTGGGGAGGTTCTCCTGGATAATATCCTGCAGAGTGTTTTCCAACTCGGTTCCGTTCTCCCTGTCACTTTCAGGTACACCAATCAGACATAGATTTGGTCTTTTCACATAGTCCCATATTTCTTGGAGGCTTTGTTCATTTTTTTTTGTTATTTTTTTTCTAAACTTCTCTCTTGCTTCATTTCATTCGTTTGATCTTCCATCACCAACACCGTTTTTTCCAGTTGATCGAATCGGCTACTGAGGCTTGTGCATTCATCACGCAGTTCTCATGCCTTTGTTTTCAGCTCCATCAGGTCCTTTAAGGACTTCTCTGCATTGGTTATTCTAGTTGGCCATTCGTCTAATTTTTTTCAAGGTTTTTAACTTCTTTGCCATGGGTTCGAACTTCCTCCTTTAGCTTGGAGTAGTTTGATCATCTGAAGCCTTCTTCTCTCAACTCATCAAAGTCATTCTCCATCCAGCTTTGTTCCCTTGCTGGTGAGGAGCTGCGTTCCTTTAGAGTAGGAGAGACGCTCTGATTTTTAGAGTTTCCAGTTTTTCTGCTCCGTTTTTTCCCCATCTTTGTGGTTTTATCTACCTTTGGTCTTTGATGATGGTGACATACATATGGGGTTTTGGTGTGGATGTCCTTTCTGTTTGTTAGTTTTCCTTCTAACAGTCAGGACCCTCAGCTGCAGGTCTGTTGGAGTATGCTGGAGGTCCACTCCAGACCCTGTTTGCCTGGGTATCAGCAGGGGAGGCTGCAGAACAGCAGATATTGGTGAGAAGCAAATGTTGCTGCCTTATTGTTCCTCTGGAAGTTTTTTCTCAGAGGAGTACCCGGCCCTGTGTGGTGTCAGTCTGCCCCTACTGGGGGGTGCATCCCAGTTAGGCTACTCGGGCGTCAGGGACCCACTTGAGGGCGCAGTCTGTCCATTCTGAGATCTCCAGCTGCGTGCTGGGAGAACTACTACTCTCTTCAAAGCTGTCAGACAGGGACATTTAAGTGTGCAGAGGATTCTGCTGCCTTTTGTTTGTCTATGCCCTGCCCCCAGAGGTGGAGTCTACAGAGGCAGGCAGGCCTCCTTGAGCTGCGGTGGGCTCCACCCAGTTGGAGCTTCCTGGCTGCTTTGTTTACCTACTTAAGCCTCCGCCGTGGTGGGCGCCCCTCCCAGCCTGGCTGCCGCCTTGCAGTTTGTTCTCAGACTGCTGTGCTAGCTATGAGTGAGGCTCCATGGGTGTAGGACCCTCTGAGCCAGGTGTGGGGTATAATTTCCTGTTGTGCTGTTTGCTAAGACTGTTGGAAAAGCACAGTATTAGGGTGGGAGTGACCCGATTTTTCAGGTGCCGTCTGTCACCCCTTTCTTTGACTAGGAGAGGGAATTCCCTGATCCCTTGCGCTTCCCAAGTGAGGCGATGCCTTGTCCTGCTTAGGCTCACTCTGGATGCTGCCCCCACTGTCCTGCATGCACTTTCCGACACTCCCCAGTGAGATGAACCCGGTACCTCAGTTGGAAATGCAGAAATCACCTGTCTTCTGTGTAGCTCACGCTGGGAGCTGTAGACTGGAGCTGTTCCTATTTGGCCATCTGAGTTTTTATTTATTTATTTTTTTGAGATAGAGTCTTGCTCCATCACCCAGGCTGGAGTGTAATGGTGGCATCTCAGCTCACTGCAACCTCTGCCTCCTGGGAGCAAGCAATTCTTGTGCCTCAGCCTCCTCAATAACTGGGACTACAGGTGCATGCCACCACACCCAGCTAATTTTTGTATTTTTAGTTCCGATGGATTTTTGCCATGTTGGCCACACTGGTCTTGAACTCCTGACCTCAGGTGATCTGCCCACTTTGGCCTCCCAAAGTACTGGGATTAGAGGCATGAACCACTGCGCCTGACCTGTCTTTGACTTTTGACTGTTTGACTATAATGTGGTGGGAGATAAGACCTTTTTGGGTTGTATTTCTTTTGGGATCCTTTAGTTATCTGGATATCTAAATTGCTTGCTAGTCTTGAGAAGTTTTCAGCTATTATTTTATCAAATAGGTTTTCTATACCATTAAACTTTTCTTCACCTTTCGGGATACTCAACATTTGAATATTTTGTCACTTTATGGTGTGTCATATGTCACGTCTTTCTACATTTCTTCTTCTTTTTTTTTTTTTTAAATTCATCTGACTGGGTTATTTTGAAAGACCTATCTTTAAGTTCTGAAACTCTTCTGTTTGATCTAATCTATTGATGCTCCTGATTGTATTTTTCATTTCATTCATTGACTTTTTCATTTCCAGGACTTCTTTTTTGTGATATCTCTCTTTGTGAATTTCTCATTTATATTCTAAATTGGTTTGCTGATTTCTTTGTATTTTCTATCTGTGTTCTTTGTTATCTCACTGAGCTTCTTTTATATCATGATTTCGAATTCTTTTTCAGGTATTTCATAAATTTCTTTTTTGTTAGAATCTGTTGTTGGAGAATTAATGTGTTCTTTTGAAGGTGCCATATTTCCTTGCTTTTTCATGTTTGTGTTCTTTCATTGATATATGAGCACCAGGTGTAATAGTTTCTTCTTCTGATGTTTTGGATTGGCTTTCACAGGGGAAGACTTTTTCCTATAGGTGTATCCATAAAGTTGGTTGGGTAGGACACTTGGATTTTGATTCTGGATACATGCAGTAGTGTAGTCTCTGTATAATTTCTTTAACTGTACACACCGTCAGTGGTGTCTGATTTCCTCATTGACTTAGGCCACAAAATTGTTAGAGGAGGCTATGGTGAGATTTTTCTGGGGATGGGATGCCAGGTGGGCCAGTCTTTGGGCCCCAATTGCATGCTGAGTGTGCCTGTTCTTGGATTTCTAGACAGCATGTTTAGGTGCTGGCATTGACAGATCCAGGTGGGCCAATTCTTGATCCTCCTGGCAGCTTGCTCAGGTTCTGGTTGTGGTAGTGGCAGACCAGGTGGGTGGGTAAGTCCTTGGGCCCCTATACAGTGTATGTGGTGTGGGTGATGATAGTCATGGTGGTGGGACGGACAACCCTCAGGTTTCCAGGTGGCATTTGTTGGTGATAGTGGTAGCTTTGACAGGTTGGCCTGGCTAGTCCCTAGGCCCCTGGGTGGTGTGTGTGTGTGGGTGCTGGCAGTGGTGGTAGCAGCAGGCTGGTGAAGCCCATCCTCAAGCTCTGGGAAGGAATGTGCAGATGCCAGCTGTGGTGGATGGATGGGGAGATCTCCAGGCCTCTGGATGGGTAGATTGCACACTGGTGGCAGGTTTTCTGGGTCTGTTGTTAGACTCAGGTGGTGTGCACATGTACCTGGGGCAACTGATGGAGTAAGATGATCCCCAGACCCCCAGGAGGTATGCTTGGGCAGTGGGGGCTAGTGCTAGGTGAGGCAGGCCTCTTCTTAAGTCCTTACAGTGGTGTACATGGGCACAGGCTATGGTGGGTGGGGCAGGACAAGCGCCAGGACTCTGGAAGGCATACAAGTGGCACTGGTGGTGGCAGGTGGTGTGGGGCTGTTATTAAGCCACCTGGTGGTGTATGTGTGTGCATCAGGGGTGGCTGATGGGGCAAGAGAATTCCTGGGGCCTCAAGCATCATGCTTGGACTTGGCAGATGCAGGGGTGTGTGGAAGGGATGGTGCCAGGCTGGGTGGGCCTGTTCTCAGGGCCCCTGATGGTGCATGGGTGTAGGCTGTAGTGAACAGGGCAGGCTGGTCCCCGGTGTTTGAGCAGTGTGCCTGGGTAGCAGTGGCAGCAGAGGCAGTGGGTGGGGAAAGCCTGTCCTCAGGGGCATGCAAGTGTGAGGTGGCTCTGCTGCTAGGGGGAGGCAGTTTCTATCTTTGGTAGCTGCCTGAGACAGGCAGATTTCAGGCTCTGGGTAGAGCATGCTTTGAGAATTGGCAGTGGCAGTTGACGGGGAGAACCTATCTTCAGCGCATGCACAAGTTTGTGGCCACCCTGTCACTGGGGGCAGCTATAAGTGATAGCAGTCCCAGGCCGGCAGGCTTCTGTCTCTGGGGAGCACATGCTGTGGCACCCTTTGTACCAGGGGCAGTCTTCCTGGTGTGCTACACCACCTTTTCCCTAGTGTGCAGGACACTGTGGGCTAGAGTACTGGGGGGCTCTGCTGATCCACAGGGTCCAACTGGTGTCTTACTGCAGCACCCATCTAGATGGACATGGGAAAATGTCAGTGGGGCTCCAGGGATATGTAGATGCAAGGGTTTTTTGGGCCCTGGGGCAGGATACCATCTGTTGGGGCCTGGGCTATCAAATGATGCCCTGAAGGAGCTGCTTCAGATTTGGGGTTTGTTGGGACCTGGCATTAACTCCCTTACTGGAGCAGTGCCACCTCAGGGACTTTGGGGACCTTCCCATTCCATTCTCAGAGCCCATGAGGGTTGAGGGACTCCAATGTGGCCAGGATTATAGGAGTCTGTGATGAGAATGTGGACTGCTGGGGATCTCTCATTTAACCTTTTCCCACACTGGGGAGCTTCTCCTGGCTCTGCTATTGTAGGGAGGCTAGGCCATCTGCCTAGCCTCCCTCTCCTTCTGTGCCCCAGGTGTTTCCTGTCACTTCTATGTTGAATTCCAGTGTGTTCTCTTTCATTTTCTCTTTGAAGTGTAACTATCTACTGACTACTTTGATTCTTTGTGGAAAAGTGTCCTATGCCTCTAGTCAGCCATCTTGAAACTATCCTCCAGTTTTTAAATTTTATTAGTTAGTAGAGTCGGTCTGGCCCCTGTTATTTCATTTTAGTCAGATGGAGATCCTGAAATTCATTCTTCAGGAAATTCATTCAGGAGTCAGACTGCTGTTTTCCAAGGCAAAATGTCAGTTTTACTTTTGTGCTCGGAACATTTATTTCAATGATTTCTTATTGCTCTTTTCAAAAGCAAGGCTCTGCATAATCTGGGCCCTTTTGTACTTTATAGCCCTAGGTCATAAGTTTTCTTTCACTGATTCTATTCCAGCTTTACCCCTCTTCTGTTTCTCAAACATGCTGCAAATTTTGCATTTCTACTGATTATGCAGTTTGCCTATTCCTGTTTTCATGTATCTAACCATTCTGTATCTTTAATGTATTTATCACTTCCTTACTCTAGTGACTTTCCTGACCAAACTATCTGAAACACGACCTCCAACACAAGGCATCCCATCATGTGATCTGGTAGTATTTGTAATTATCTTTTATATTTATTTACTTCTCTATTTCTTATCCACTGTATTTGTTAGTGGTTCATTGTCTTTTATTTGTCTATTATCATCCTTCACTAGACTATAACCTCTGTTGTCTCCCTACTACATAGTGGACACATTAAATATTTGTTGAATACACATAAAAGGCTTATTTAGATAATGAATGTTTTTATTAAAATTTTAGTCCATAATTTTTAATGAATTTTATATTTATCTATAGGAAAACATAAATTGTTTAACAAGTTGGACTTACTTGTCTTAATTCTTTTCAGTTTTTTAGGATAATTGCTCTCTGTCATCTCTAGAAGTAAGAATCCTTTCCAACTTTAGTTCCCAAATCAGATGCCATCTGCCTTAATTTTTCTCAAGCAGAAGAATCTCTTCTTTCTTCTGTTTGCTGTTTTAGCATTTGACTGTAGGATAATACCTGTCACTTTGTAATTTTTTTCTTCCTCTTTTATACTGTAAATTTCTTGTTGGCAATAACTACTCTACATTTCTGTATTGTCCACATCTCTTAGAGAGTGATTCCACTGAGTCAGATGCTTAAAATACCTTTTAAAAATCATGATTTTGGAAAATGGCAGGTAAGAGACAGGACTAGTATGCAGCTCCCACTTGGACAGAACAGCAGGTAGAGACTCACATCATGAACTTTTACTCCAAAAAGCACTGCAGAAACATACCAGGAAAACCAAAAGAATTCAAAGACCCTTTGAAAGATGTGGCTTGCTCTGCAAACTCCATGAGACAGCCAAAAAATTCAGTTCCCAAAGTGTGAGGGGGGGATAGCCTGCTTCCAAACACACATCTCCACTGGGGAACCAGAAATCCAGATCATGGGAGAAGGATTTAACCATCCCTAGAGCTGAAATGGAAGTAGGGAGCTAAGCAAAATATAAAAGTGGAAGAAGCAGCTGGAAGAGCCCTGTAGACACTCCTGGTCCCCAGCTTGAGCCCAGGGAAGCCATCCCTGGCCTTCTCTCACAGGGGTCCTTGGGGAAGGTACCCAGTGGAATTGAGGAGGGGCCACAGGGTGAAAGAAGCTTCTGACTGAACTCTGTAATAATTTTGACTAAGCATGAATTTTCATGAGCAGAATCTTGGCGGTGGGGTGCGAATGGGAAATGCAGATATGAGTGCAGAAGCTGCAGCCAACAGTGTGGGTAGACAGGGAGGGGCAAGGCCTGGGAGCCCTGCTTGCTTTCTTAGTGGGGAGGCTCATAGCCTGGGGCAAGATCTCAGCACTGTGTGCCCATTGCCTGGATGTAAACTTGGCACTGTTGGTGGGCATGATGAGAGTGAGACAGGCTTTACTTGCTGTGTGGGAGCTGAGAGAAGCCTATCACCGGAGGCTTTCTCTCAGTGATGAACTGTATGATGCAGCAGAGGTAGCCATAATCCTCTGTGGAACATAACTTCATTGGCCTGAGAACCACCCCCATCCCCCACAGTGGCTGCAGCAAGCACTGCCCAAGGAGGGTCTGAGCACAGACCTTTCTAACTCTGCCCTTACCTGATTTTTTTTTTCCCACTTTGGTAGCCAAAGACAAAAGACATAAACTCTTGGGAACTCTATGGCCCCACCTATTGCTTGAGAAACCTGAAAATTTATCCTGGCCAATGTAGGGCAAACTTGCATACCCCTTCTACTACCACAGGTGGTGCTCTCTTGAAAGTGCCACCTCTGGGCTGGAGGCCAGCCAACTCAGTCCATTATAGCAACTCAGAACAAGCCTGCTCCAAAGAAGGAGAAAACAACAGCTAATTCTACCACGTGCAACATCCTGGCTATCCAGAGGTCCTGAGTCTGTTCATGTGACAACTTCACTGCTAGCATAAGCAGCATTTGAGAAAACCAGTGCATTAAAAACTACAACCAAGGACTCCCACAGAGTCCACATCACTCCCCTGCCACCTCCATTGGAGCAGGTGCTGGTATCCACAGCTGGGAGACCTGAAGATGGATCACCTCATCACATCACAGGACTCTTTGTAGACATTACCCAGCACCAACCTGGAGCCTGATAGCCTCACTGGGGGGCTAGACCCAATCACTGCAGTCTGGCTCATGTGCAGCCCCACCCATAGGGGAACAGGGAGAGCACCACATCAAAGGATCACCCTGTGGGACAAAAGAATCTGAACAGCAGCCCCTGTGTTCCAGATCCTTTCCACTGAGACAGTCCATCCAAATGAGAAGGAACCAGAAAAGTAATTCTGGTACTATGACAAAACAAGTTTCCGTAACACCCCCAAAAGACCACACTAGTTCTCCAGCAATGGATCCAAACCAAGAAGAAATCTCTGAATTGCCAGATAAAGAATTCAGAAGGTTGATTAATATACTACTCAAGGAGGTACTAGAAAAGGGAGAACACCAACTTAAGGAAATAAAAAAAAAAAACCAGATATGGATGAAAAGGTCTTCAGAGAAATAGATGTCATAAAGAAAAGACAATCAAAACTTCTGTAAGTGAAAGATGCACTTAGAGAAATACAAAATACACTGGAAAGTTTCAACAATAGAATCGAACAAGTAGAAGAAAGAACTTGAGTTTGAAGACAAGGCTTTTGAATTAACCCAATCCAGCAAAGACAAAGAAAAACTAATTAATAAAAAATAAATGAACAAAGCCTTCAAGAAATTTGGGATTATGTTAAACAACCAAACATAAGAATAATCAGTGTTCCTGAGTAAGAAGAGAAATCTAAAAGTTTGGAAAACTTATTTGAGGTAATAATCGAGGATAACTTCCCTAGTCTTACTAGAGATCTAGATATTCAAATACAAGAAGCTCAAAGAACACCCAGGAAATTCATCACAAAAAGATGATCACCTAGGTAAATAGTTATCAAGTTATCTAAAGTCAAGACAAAGGAAAGAATTTTAAGAACTGTGAGGCAAAAGCATCAGGTAACCTACAAAGGAAAACCTGTAAGATTAACAAGAGATTTCTCAGCAGAAACCCTACAAGCCAGAAGGAATTGGGATCCTATCTTTAGCCTCCTTAAACAAAATAATATAAGCCAAGGATTTTCTATCCATTGAAACTAAGCTTCATAATGTGAGATAAAGTATTTTTCAGACAAACATGCTGAGAGAATTCACCACTACCAAGCCAGCACTACAAGAAATGCTAAAAGGAGTTCTAAATTTTGAAATACACCAAAATAGAACCTCCTTAAAGCAGAAATCTCACAGGGCTTGTAAAACAATAACACAATGAAAAAAAAAAAAACACCAAGATATCCAGGCAACAACTAACATGATGAATAGAAAAGTACTTCACATGTCAATACTAACATTGAATATAAATGGCCTAAATGCTTCACTTTAGCATTTAGTGTCAGAATGAATAAAAATCCATCCACCAAGTATCCATTGTCTTCAAGAGACTTATGTAACACATAAGAATTCACATAAACTTAAGGGGAAGAGGTGGAAAAAGATATTCCATGCAAACAGAAACCAAAAGCGAGCAGGCGTAGCTATTCTTATATCATACAAAACAGACTTTAAAGCAAAAACAGTTAAAAAAGACAAAGAAGGACATTATATAATGATAAAAGGATTAGAACAACAGGAAAATATCACAATCCTAAATACATATGCACCTAACACAGGAGCTCCCAAATTTATAAAACAATTACCACTAGACCTAAGAAATGAGATAGATGGCAAATAATAGTGGGGGATTTCAGTACCCCACTGACAACATTAGAGAGGTCATCAAGACAGAAAGTCAACAAAGAAACAATAGGCTTAAACTGTACCCTAGAACAAATGCACTTAACAGATATTTACAGAATATTGTACCCCAAAACTGCAGAATATACATTCTTTTCATCAGCACATGGAACATTCTCCAAGATAGACCATATGATAGGCTGCAAAACAAGTCACAATAAATTTAAGAAAACACAAATTATATCAAGTACTCTCTCAGAACACAGTGGGATAAAATTGGAAATCAACTCCAAAAGGAACCCTGAAAACTGTACAAATACATGGAAATTAAATAATCTGCTCCTAAATGATCTTTGGGTCAACAATGAAATCAAGACGGAAATCTAAACATTCTTTGAACTGAACAGTTGTAGTGACAAAACCTATCGAAACCTCTGGAATACAGCAAAAGTGGTGCTAAGAGGAAAGTTAATAGCATTAAATGCCTACATCAAAAAGTCTGGAAGTGCACAAATAGACAATCTAAGGTCACACCTCAAGGAACTAGAGAAACAAGAACAAACCAAGCCCAAACCCAGCAGAAGAAAAGAAATATAAAGATCAGAGCAGAACTAAATGAAATTGAAACAAACAGAAAAAACAATACAAAAGATAAATGAAATGAAAAGCTGGTTCTTTGAAAAGATAAAATTGATGGACCATTAGCAAGATTAACAAAGAATAGAGAAGACCCAAATAAGCTCAATTAGAAACAAAATGGGAGATATTATAACTGATACTACAGAAATACAAACAATTATTCAAGGCTACTGTGAACACCTTTACACATACAAATTAGAAAATCTACAGGAGATTGATAAATTCCTAGAAATATACAACCCTCCTAGATCAAACCAGGAAGAAATAGAAACTCTGAACAGACCAATGACAAGTAGTGAGATTGAAACAGCATTTTTAAAACTTGCCAACAAAAAAAAAGTCCGGGACCAGATGGATTCACGCTGAATTTTATCAGCCATTCAAAGAAGAATTGGTACCAATCCTACTGAAAATTATTCCAAAAGATAAAGAGAGAATCCTCCCTAAATCATTCTGTGAAGCCAGTATCACCCTAATACCAAAACCAGGAAAAGGCATAACAAAAAAAAAAAAAAAAAAAAGGAAACTATAGACCAATATTCCTGATGAATATAGATGCAAAAATCCTCAACAAAATACTAGCTAACTGAATCCAACAGCATATCCAAAAGATAATACATCATGATCAAGTGAGTTTCATACCAGGGATGCAGGGATGGTTTAACACACATAAGTCAATAAATATCATACACTACATAAACAGAATTAAGAATAAGAATTATATGATCATTTCAATAGATGCAGAAAAAGCATTTTACAAAATCTAGTATCACTTTATGATTAAAACCCTCAGCAAAATCAGCATAAAAGGGACATACCTTAAGATAATAAAAGCCATCTATGACACACCCACAGCCAGCATTATACTGAATGGGGGAAAGTTGAAAGCATTCCCCCCAAGAACTGGAACAAGACAAGGATGCCCACTTTCACCACTTCTATTCAACATAGTACTGGAAGTCCTAGCCAGAACAGTCAGACAAGAGTTCACCACTTCTATTGTACGTAGTACTGGAAGTCCTAGCCAGAGCAATCAGACAAGAGAAGGAAATAAAGGGCATCCAAATAGATAAAGAGGAACTCAAACTGTTGCTGTTCACCAATGACATAATAGTATACCTGGAAAACCCTAAGGACTTATCCAAAAAGCTCCTAGATCTGATAAATGGACTCAGTAAAGTTTCAGGGTACAAAATCAATGTACACAATGCAGTAGAACTGCTATACATCAACACTGAATAAGCTGAGAATCAAATCAAGAACTCAACCCCTTTTACAACAGCTGCAAAAAATAAAATACACCTAACCAAGGAGGTGAAAGATATCTACAAGAAAAACTAGAAACACTTCTTAAAGAAATCATAGATGACACAAACAAATGGAAACACATCCTATGATCATGGATGTGTAGAATTAATACTGTAAAAATGACCATACTGCCAAAAGCAATCTATAAATGCAATGCAATTCCCATCAAAATACCAATATCATTCTTCACAGAACTAGAAAAAATATCCTAAAACTCATATGCACCCCAAAAACCCCACAGAGCCAAAGGAAGACTAAGCAAAAAGAACAAATCTGGAGGCATCACATTACCTGACTTCAAACTATACTACAGGGCTATGGTTACCAAAACAGCATGGCACTGGTATAAATATAGGTATGTGGACAGATGGAGCAGAATAGAGAACCCAGAAATAAAGCCAAATACTTAAAGTCAACTGATCTTCGACAAAGCAAACCAAAACATAAAGTGGGGAAAGAATACCCTATTCAACAAATGGTGCTGGGATAGTTGGCAAGCCACATGTAGTATGAAACTGGATCCTCATCTCTCACCTTATATAAAAATCAAGTCAAGATTGATAAAAAACTTTAAGACATGAAGCCATAAAAATTCTAGAAGATAACATCGGAAAAACTCTTCTAGACATTGGCTTAGGCGAAGAATTCATGACCAAGAACCAAAAGCAAATGCAACAAAAACAAAAATAAACAAATGGAACCTAATTAAAATAAAAATCTGCACAGCAAAAGAAATAATCAGCAAAGTAAACAGACAACCCAGAAAGTGGGAGAAAATCTTCCCAAACTATGCATCTGACAAAGGACTAACATCCAGAATCTACAAGGAACTCAAATCAGTAAGAAAAAAACAAGTAATCCCATCAAAAAATGGGCTAAGTATGTGAATAGACAATTTGCAAAAGAAGATAATACAAGTGGTCAACAGATATGAAAAAATGCTCAACATCACTAAAGATGGAGGAAATGCAAATCAAAACCACAATGCAATCACCACCTTACTCCTACAAGAATGGTCATAATTAAAAAATGAAAAAATAATAGATGTTGGCATGGATGTGGTGAAAAGGGAATACTTTTACACTGCTGGTGGGTATGTAAACTAGTACAACCACTATGGAAAACAGTATGGAGACTCCTTAAAGAACTAAAAGTGAACTACCATTTGATCCAGCAATCCCACTGCTGGGTTTCTACCCAGAGGAAAATCAGTCAGTATATGAAAAAGACACTTGCATGTGCATGTTTATAGCAACACAATTCACAACTACAAAAATATGGAACCAGCCTAAATGCCTATCAACCAATGAGTGGGTGAAGAAAATACATACGCACACACACACACACACACTCTCTCACACACTCACACTCCATGGAATTCTACTCAGCCATAAAAAGGAATGAAATTATGGCATTCACAGCAACCTAGATGGAGTTGGAAACTATTATTCTAACTGAAGTAACTCAGGAATGGAAAACCAAACATTGTTACGTTCTTACTTATAAGTGGGAACTAAGCTTTGAGGACACAAAGGCATAAGATTGATATAATGGACCGGGTGTGGTGGCCTACACCTATAATCCCAGCACTTTGGGATGCTGAAGCAGGTGGATCACCTGAAGTCAGGAGTTTGAGACCACCCTGGCCAACATGGTGAAACCCTGTCTCTACTAAAAACACAAAAGTCAGCCGGGTGTGGTGGCACACACCTGTAATCCCAGCTATTCAGGAGCCTGAGGCAGGAGAATTGCCTGAACCCAGGAAGCAGAGGTTGCAGTGGGCCAAGATTGCACTACTGCACTCCAGCCTGAATGAAAAGAGCAAAACTCCATCTCCCACACACACAAAAAAGATTGATATAATGGATTCTGGGGACTCTGGTGGAGGGTGGAGGAGGGATGAGGGATAAAAGACTATACATTGGGTACAGTGTACACTGCTTGGGTAATGGCTGCACCAAAATCTCAGTAACCACCACTAAAGAACTTGTTCATGTAACCAAACATCACCCATTTCCCAAAAACTATTGAAAGAATAATAAAAAAAGATTTACATTTATAGTGTGCTTAATATCTTATAAAGTGCATTTACCTCTATTTTATGTAGAGTAACAGATATTTTCCTCATGTTAATGGTGTATATTAGTGCATACTATATACTGTGTCTTTTGGTATAGCAAAATAACATCATTCTGTCTAAAACACCAATAAGGCCCTCATTGAGAAACAACGTAGGATCATGAGCTGTGAACATTCATGGGTAAAACATTAATCTCTCTCTTTAACAACAAGCTGAGCTCTTTTATCTCTCTATTGCCAATATATGGCCTAGTACCTGGAACAGAGTAGGTGATCATCAAATATTTGATAAATAATTTAAAAATAGTTATTAGAGTTTTAGCAATCTGTGGTTTTTTTTCCTAATTTTTTTGATAACTCCAACCTCTGGAACAACTCACTTCCAAATAAATTTGTAGTCACTGACAATAAAATAAGAAACATCTTGATTTGTAATTATTTTCCACTATATCTTTGATTCTTGTGCACAAATTGGACTTAACCTAGAATTATTTCTGCATTAGAATAGAACTTACAAGTTATCTAACTCATCTAATTAGTTTTTATCTAATTCACCTTATCTCTTGGTTTTATTATGTATATACACATTTGTATTTATATTGCTCTTCCTTGGGAACTTTATAATTGTTTTTATATCCATATTAGGTTGAAAAATATGTTATAATGGTCTCATAACTATTTGATTTTATGTTTTAACACTGGTGATAAATTTTCTCTGCACAGCCTTCAAAACATCTTTCTCTGGTTAAATGGAACAGCAATGACATATAGTGGTTGTCTAGTTTATTCTTTAGATTTTATTATAGAAAATATACTATAGGTTGGTCATGTTTTAATTAAACCTCATGCTAACATTTCATGTTGTAATAAAAAACTGGCCGTAGATTATTTTCTTACTCAATAAGTCATTAGAAGACCACATTAGACAAATTTTCACCCAAAGCAATATTATTTATTTAAATATAAAAAATAAAAACATAGTCTAGGTAAATGTTAGTAGCAACTCAATATGTCCTCTAAGAATTGAAAGTAAGAGTTTCTAAATGCAAATAATCCATGCTTTTCTTGCTAAATATGTTTTTGTTTATCCCAAAGTCTAGGAAATAGGAATTTACTTACTAAAAGCCCTGCTGTAATTATGGATGAAGATTGTAGAAGCACGGATGAAATAAGACAGTCAGACTACATTACTGAAAAACACTCAATACAGCATATTTGGGGGAAAAATGGAAAGGAAGTTTCAAATTTTCTTGAAGATGTGAACCAGTCTACTCCTAACCTTCTATCAGAGAATTGTGACTCTTTTGTTAGTCAAAATATGATCAATGTATTAAACATAGATGAGCAAAGGATAAAGAAAACATTTAACAAGTGTGATTATGATAGTATGGGAGATACTTGTGTAGTCACTAGTTCTGATAAAAACCATGTCACTGACAGATGCATTAGAAACATTTTTACAGTTCCAGAGTTGACTTTTAGTAATTCGACTTTGAATAAAACAAGTTATCCAG
Source organism: Homo sapiens (assembly GCF_000001405.40). NCBI lineage: Eukaryota > Metazoa > Chordata > Mammalia > Primates > Hominidae > Homo > Homo sapiens. The sequence continues at coordinate 39,683,030 of NC_000012.12, forward strand.
AAAAATGTCAGCCAAACAAGAAGTATCAGAGAGAGTATAACAAAAATGAAAGAAATGATCTTAGTACATCTTTTGAGAACGATTACTACCCAAGCAGCTCTGAAAGAAAAGGTTGGTATTGTACATGGAAAATGTAATTACATATTCTTTTTTTCTTTCAGTTTTAGTATATATATTTGTATATTCATACACACACATCTATATATTTGTATGTGTGTTTATGTGTTTGGAGGAAAATGAAACCAAAAATAGAATGGCTTCCTATTATATAACATTGTGGACCAGTGGTTTTCCTCTGTACGTGTCATGTGAATATGCTTTGAATTAAAAAATGAAAATAGACTATGCTAAATTTTTAACTCGGTGCATACTTTTATTTTTTAAGAAAAATTTGAAAATGATTACCAAGAGAAGACACCACAGAAAAGTATTCAGAAATATCCAGCAAACTCTATGTAAGTTTTTAGGTAAATCTGGGGAATACAAATCAGGATCTAGTATGATGCATGATGAATGTTGAATTGATGCAAAGTGAGGTAGGCGTATTGCCATTTGAGGGTGGGCAGGCAACCTGGTCTCAAAGGAGCCTTACCAGGAGTCACAGTGTTGATAATATCACCCCAGTTGAGAGTGTGGTGCTCATATTTGCCAGCTCCCAAATACCTTCTTATCTGAATATTAGTGTTGATTAGATTTGAGGAAATTGATTTAATGTGTTCAAGAAACTCATATCCGCCAGAATGTCAATTTATTAACTTAAAGTAATAAATAGAAAGGGAACATGTATAGGAAGTCTTATTGACATGAAAAAGCATATTTTCTTACTTTCAAACAGCTCTCAGTGGGAAGGTTGCTTGCTTGGTTGGTATAGAATCACTATAGGGAGTGATAGAATTCAGATGTTAGTGGCATAAGCAAGCATATCAGCAGTTTATAGGACAGTGTACATTTTAGGGATAGAGCACTCTTCTCATTGCCAACATTTACCTCTCAGAGACTCCATGTTTTCTCTATGTTCAAGATTACAATCTCCTCTACCCATACATTGAAAACAATTATGTTTCACCAGATTTTTCTTTCTCTTCTTGCAGCTGGTGTACAAAATGTTCTGAGTTTAAGGTGATTTTTACACTCATCCATTATGTGTTGATGTTAAATTTATTCCTTAAAAGTTTGAGAACTGCCTTCCAGGCTTTTCTGAATAATGACCTGCAATTATAAGTAACTAAAGAAAACTTTATTTTAGCTAGTAGTTTCTAGCTAAAATAGTCCTAACTTTCTTGGTAATAGTCCTAACTTTCTTGGTAATAATTACAATTTAGCCAAATCTTTCTGGTTGGAAATCATGAACTAGAATAAATTTTTATTCTGGAAGTGATTTCTTGTGGAATTATTAAAAATATTGATTGATAAAAAGATGCAATTTTAGTGGGATTGGCACTACAAATTAATTAAAACATAGACTTACAAAACATTTCATAAAATTGGCAAATTTGTATTTTTGTTGTTATATCTCCCAATATCTAGAAATTTATGAGTGAAAAAATCATGTTAGGCCTTGAGTTTTAAATGTACCTTATGAAAGCAATTTAGAACATGGTTCCCAATCCTGACTGCAGGTCCAGATTACTTGAGGTAGTGATTTTAAACTATAGAATACCAAGATTGACCCGCACATAATAGGTGGGCTCCTTGGCATGGAGCTTATGAATCTTTATTTTTAAGAAAGCTTCCCATATAATTCTGATCTGAAGCCAAGTTTGGGAACTCTAATTTAGAACAATAATTCCCAGAGGGAACACAACAAACTTTGATACTGTGTATTTATAATCCTTAGGGGAAATATACCTTCGGAAGAATTGCACTCTAAGCAGTCATGGGACTTTGGACTTGATGAGGTAAAGCACAGTCTCACATTATCTTCTCAATTAAGTCAGTTTGTATTACCATATCACATTACTGTATTTAACGTTCACTTTGATTTAAGCTTAACATTTATTCATTAATTTTTATTGGATGGACTCTTTTTCTTATACTTTTTTATTCTGAGGAAATTATAGCTTAGATCTAGAAATAAAAACACGTTTTCAGAGACTGTTAACATGTTTTATTTGAGACAAAATCTTGAGGACATTTTAAACACATTTTTTAAGTATTACAAAACTTCTGTATTAGTTGATTCTTGCATTGCTATAAAGAAATACCTAAGACTGGGTAATTTATAAAGAAAAGAGGTTTGGTTGGCTCATGGTTCTGCAGGCTGTACAGGAAGCATGATGCTGGCATCTGATTGGTTTCGGGCAGGCCTCAGGAAACTTCTAATTATGGCAGAAGGCAAAGGGGGAGCAAGGAGTCTCACATGGCAGGAGCAGGAGCAAGAGAGAGTGAGTAGGGAGGTGCCACAGACTTTTAAATGACCAGATCACAGGAGAACAAACTCACTATCATGAGGACAACACCAAGAGGGATGGTGCTAAACCACTCAGGAGAAACCACTGCCCTGCTATGATCCAGTCACCTCCCACCAAGCCCCACCTCCAACACTCAGGATTATAATTTGACATGAGATTTGGCAGGGACATAGATCCAAACCATATCTTTCCACCCCCAGCCCCCCAAATCTCATGTCCTTCCCATATTGCAAAATACAATCATGCATTTCCAGCAGTTCTCCAAAGTCTTAACTCACTCCAGCATTAACTCAAAAGTTCAAAGTTTCACCTGATACAAGGCAAGTCTCTTCCATCTATGAGCCTGTAAAATCAAAAATAAGGTAGTTACTTCCAAGATTCAATGGCGGTACAAGCATTGGGTAAATATTTACATTCCAAAAGGGAGAAATAGGCCAAAAGAAAGGGGCTACAGGCCCCATGCTAGTCTGAAACCCAACAGGGCAGTCACAAATCTTAAAGCTCCAAAATAATCTCCCTTGACTCTATATCTCACATCCAGACACACTGGTGTAAGAGGTGGATTCCAAAAGCCTTGGGCAGCCCTGCCTCTGTGGTTTTGCAAGGTTCAGCCCCTGTGGCTGCTTTCATGAGCTGGGGCTGAGTGCCTGTGGCTTTTCCAGGAGCTAGGTGCAAGCTGTTGGTGTATCTACCATTCTGGGGTCTGAAGGATGGCGGTCTTCTTCTCATGGCTCCACTAGGCAGTGCCCCATTGGAGACTCTCTGTGGGGGCTCCAATTCCACATTGCCTCTCCACTCTGCCCTAGTAGAGGTTATCCATGATAGTTCCACCTGTGTAACAGACTGCTGCCTGAACATCTAGGCTTTTGCATACATCCTTTGAAATCTAGGTGGAGTCTCTCAAGGCTTAACTTTTACACTCTGTGCACCCACAGGCTTAACACCACATGGAAGCCATCAAGGCTTACAGTTTGCATCCTCTGAAGCAGCAGACTGAGCTGTACATGGGCCCCTTTGAGCCATGGCTGGAGCTGGAGTGACTGGGATACAGGGAGCAGTGTTCTGAGGCTGCACAGAGCAGCAGGGCCCTGAGCCTGGCCCAGGAAACCATTCTTCCATCCTAGGCCTTCAGGCATGTGATAGGAGGGGCTGTCATGAAGTTCTGTGAAATGCCATTGAGACCTATTCCCCATTGCCTTGGCTATTAGCACTTAGCTCGTTTTTTACTTATGCAAATTTCTGCAGCCTGCTTGAATTCCTTCCCGGAAAATGGGCTTTTATTTTCTACCACATGGCCAGGCTGCAAATTTTCCAAACTTTTATGCTCTGCTTCTGTTTTAAATATAAGTTCCAGTTTTATATCATTTCTTTGCTCACACATATGAACATAGGTGGTTCTTATGAAGCAGCTGGTCCATATCTTCAATGCTTTGCTGCTTAGAAATTTCTTCTGCCAGATATCCTAAATTAATCACCTTCAAGTTCAGAGTTCCACAGATCCCTAGGGCAGGGGCACAGTGCTGCCAAGTTCTTTGCTAACACATAACAAAAGTGACCTTTGCTACAGATCCCAATAAGTTCCTCATTTGTATCTGAGACCTCCTCAGCCTCAACTTCACTATCAATATCACTACCAGCATTTTCAGCCTTTTTTGTTATAACCATTCCACCGCCAGTCTTTACGAAGTTCCAAACTTTCCCTTATCTTGTGTTCTTCTGAGCCTGCCACACTCTTCCAATTTCTGCCCATTACCAAGTTCCAAAATTCCTTCCACATTTTCAGGTATCTTTATATCAAAATTCCGCTCCTGGCACCAATTTTCTGTATTAGTCTGTTCTCACATTGCTATAAAAAATACTTGAGACTGGGTAATTTATAAAGAAAATAGATTAATTGGCTCACGGTTTCACATGCTGTATAGGAAGCAGGATTCTGGGGAAGAATTGGCTTCTGGGGAAGCCTCAGGAAATTAGAATTATGGTGGAAGGTGAAGCAGGTGTGTGGCATCTCAAACAGCAAAGACAGGAGCAAGAGAGAGTGAGGTGGGAGTGCCACACACTTTTAACCAACCAGATCTCATGACAGCAAACTTCACTATTGTAAGGGCAGTACCAAGGGGGATGGTGCGAAACCATTCAGGAGAAACTACTTCCCATGATTCAGTCACCTGCCACCAGGCCCCATCTCCAACACTGGGGATTATAATTCAACATGAGATTTGCCGGGGGGTACCCAAAGATCCAAACCATATCATCTTTCAACATGAAAATGCTTTAGGTTTCAATGTGCTACATAATTTTATATTTGCCATACTATTGAAATATCTATAAACACTGCTTATGTAATGTTATAATCCCTTGCCATCATAAGGGTGTAATTTTTACAACAGTGCTAGGAAGTTTATGTAGTTTATTTCTAATCTACAGGAGCCTGAGTTGCTAAAGTCTTCACAGCAAAAGAGACTGAAATGTAAAGAGATTAGATAACTTGTTTGAGGTCACACTCTCAAGCCAAGATTCAAACTGTCTGTCTTATCTGACTTGATATTTTCAGCTATACTGTTTTCCCTTTTTTCTTCAATAAATGTTTATTGAGTACATATTATGAATTCATATAAAGACACTTATTGAATGTTTCCTGTATGCTAGACACTGGGGATAAAATGGTGCTTTGTTCTCAAGATTATATTCTGTTATGCACTAGACTCTGCAAGGTACAGAGATGAAAGGACATGGAACCTGTCTTTAAGAAGTCTTCATCTAGTGGCTAGTCAGAAAGAGACAAAAATATAATGCATTTAGATAAATTGCTTGAATTAAAGTTTGTTTTGGGTTATTAGTAACAGATACTTCTAAGTTTCATCTGTAAACAGGAGGAAGATGTGATGGAGGAGGTAACTTTTGAGCACAGTATCAATAAGTTGTTTACCAAATGGTCAAATTGGGAAGAAAGAGCAACATAGATATACTAAGATGTCAGAGTACAGCCTGTTTTAGAAATTTCAAGTACCTTGTTTCATTCTAGTTATTGTTATAGCTACAATTTATAATACTAATGATAAAGGGTGCAGGAGTGGCCTAGGTAATTCTGGACAATACAAAAAGGTAGGTCATGAATGGCCTTGTATGATATATAACAGTTTAATTATTGATCATTAAACAGAGATCCACTAAACAAATTTTAGCAGAGGAATATGATGACATCGTAATAAAAAAGTTGATTCTAGCAACAATGAGGAGGGATTTGATAAGTGGAACAGCTCAAGTTAGGGGAAGAAATAATGAGAGCTTGAAGTTTTACAATAGCAGTAAGGATGAAATGAGAGAAGAGAAGATTTAGATCTAGAATTGATAGTACTTGGTGATTGGTGATTAGTTAAGGGAGAAGGAAGAAATTGAGAAAGACCTAGATTTATTTATGATTTGAGTAAATGGGTAGTTGATGGGATTGTGCTACTGAACAAGATTGAAACCATAGGAGGAGGTGGCAGGAAAAAGGTTAACTGTCCATCAAAATCCATGTACCGTTTTTTTTGTAGAATGTACCCTTTTTAATAGAATAGAGCTGCCACCATGAAATGGCTTCCCAGCCAAGGAACATGTTTCCTAACCATCCATCCATGTACATGTGGCCATATGGCTAGATCTCACTAATGAAATGTTCGGAGAAGTGATGTGCATCATTTTAGGTTAAGGCTTATAAGAAAAGGGAATTATTTTTCCATGCTGTCTTTCTTTGATGGCTAGATGGTAGTGAGGCCCCAAGGGATAATGGAGCCACAAGATGGAAAGGACTGGGTCTCTGAATCACTACATGGAGGAAAATTGCCTGCTTACCAGAAACACTCACTTTAGATTATTACACAAGAGAGAAATGATTGTGTTTGGCATTATACATTTTGTGATATACTTTTTAAAAACAATACCTAGCATCACTCTGATTCAGAGGAGGAGCAATTTCTGAGAGAGGTAAGTTTGACCCACTGAGCTCAAGTGAGGATCTTCTGAAAAACCTGTGATCTATGTGGAGATGTATAGTAGGCAATTATATATACAGGGCTTGAGGTGAGAAGAGATGTTTCAGCCTTTATGAATAGCAGATAATTGACTACATCCAAGTATATGATTCTCGAGAGAAAGTGTATAGAATAAGAACAAAAATTGTCAAATTCCTGAGAAGGCACATTTCAGGTTGGAGGGTATGAAGTAGAAGAGGAACCAGAAAAGGGGGCTGAGAATGAGCTACTAGAGAGGTTTGAGGAGTACTAGTGTCGTAGGAAAGAAAAAGGAGGAAAATGTGGTCAGTAGTGATGGAAGCTGTCCTGTTATTCCTTTAAATAATTCATATTTCCCCAAATATGAATAATATAGATGTATCCTCCCAAAAGATGAATTATCAACAGAATTTAATACTTCAAAAACAAATTCTGTTTGACCACACCTATGTCTAGAAAGCTGGCAGCTTGAATATAGCTAGAACTAGTCAAAAAAGAAAAAAGCCTATTGATGTAGCCCAAAGGGAATCAGGTGCTATGAGGAGTTCCTTGGGTAGAGCAGGTATGGGGACTTTAAATTGTGATGCCTGGCCATGGCCAAAGGTGCAGTGGAACCCTGACTAAAATTACGTTCTACCAGAGGGGCCAAGGCAAGAGTCACCAATGGGATGGAATGAAGGGGTAGGAGTAGAAAGAGGGCTGGGTTGCACCTGCCCACAGGTTAGGTAAAATTAAAACAGGTAGATTCTGCTGAGGAAGAATTGATGAAGAGACATACGGGCTAAAACAAGCAAACAGAACAAGCCTCTTGGATGGGGACATGTGGTGTTCTCAAGAGCCTTTGATGGGAGTGGGAGAGAATAGGAAAGAACAAAGTATTAGAGGAGTATAATTATTTAATTTTAAAGGTTTAGTAGAGGAATAAAGTTAAAATACAATTGTTAACATGGGAACGTATTCACCAGAGAAGTGGAGACGTGGAAGAACAAAATTCAAGAGTGATGATGTCACACTAGGAAACCGGATCAAGATGGGAAGAAATGAAATAGCAATTCTATATACAGTGTTAAAAATGAAACCCACTTAGCAATTAACATATTGAATATGATAGCAATTAACATATTGAATATGAATTAATATATTGAATATGAATTCTTTTCAAGATTCAAAGAATATCAAATTATTAAGAAAAAATCAATATAGGTTATAAGCAACGTATCTAGAATATAATAAAGGTTGAAAGCAAACAGATAGCAAAATACATACATTAAGAAAACATATATACTATTGGAGCAAAGACCATATAAATGCAATAAAAAGCCCATTCGGAAAAGAGAAAAATAGGAGATGCAGATTTTCTGATCCATAGCAAGGCTTGCCATCCTGGAGGATGGAGGACATTTGTGAATAACTTAGTGTCTTGTCCTTTAGGAAGATCTTTGCTGTCCTTCTCAAACAGATCTGAAGTAGGTATTGGAGTGCAGGCCTGCCGTGGGGTCTACATAGCTTTCTTGAAAGTTTTGTGTTCTTCTTGCAAGTTTGGGGCTTGAATGTGTCATGACTTGAAGAGAAAAGATTTTTAAATGATAAGATAGAGGGGTTAGGGAAGGGGCTCTGCTCCATGTAGTTATTCAGGCCCTAAACTGGTGGCTCCCAGTTTATTGTTACCAGAGAGAAGAAAGGAAAAGGAAGTGGAGGATTGTGGGGAAGATTTTTATGGACCAGGACCGGCAGTAGTTTACGTTACTTCTGCCTATGACCAGAACTTACGTAACATGTCTAAACCAATTCCAAGGGAGGCCGGGAAATACAGTCTAGCTGTATGTCCAAGAAAAAGGGAGTCAGGTTTGGGAAGCAGCTAGACAATTTCTCCTTTATTTTATATATCTAAAATTCTATATCCTACCAACAGAGAATGTATAGAAAAAAATTTTTATAAGCCCATGATATGTATGCAAACATAATTCATATAGTAAGCCATAAAGAAAATCTAAGACATTTATTTAAGGAGAGATTCATGGGTACATTCTCTAATCAAAATTTGATAAAATTGAAATCAACTAAAAAGAGATACTTAACTTCCCTTAACATCCTGGAAATAAAGAAACACTCAGGGTTCGTTTGCTTTGTTAGAGAAAGGAAATGAAAATAAAGTACAAATTACATAGAAAGTGATGGAAACCAAAACCAATAGTGTGTTCTGTAGAAAGTTATACCTCTAAGAGCTTTTATTATTTAAAAAACCTGATAATAAACGACTGATGATCTAACTTAGGAAATTAAATAAAGAATAACAAATTTCCAAATTGCCTTAATATGTTTGTCTTTCTTCAGCTGCATTTACTATGATTACCTGAAGCTTTTCCTTTTTCTCAGTAATTCATTTCTTGGCAAGTGTCTATTCTGTTGCTTGTTGTTTTTTAACGAATTTAAATTTCATTTTATTGTTTACCACAGGCTAATTTTTCTTTGTGGTTTAAAAATAAACCATGTTGAACTGAAGTAATGTAAAAGAAAAGTACTATAAAATGAATTGGTAGTGTAAATAAGGTAGATATAAGTGAATATTATTATGTATACTTAGGAATTGTTAACATTTTGGTTTTCTCCTAGATTCTGATGGAAGAAGGAGGAATATATTCTTTAAAAAGCAAGCGAATATCTACTAAGAAAATCTGTCAGTATAACTGTATAAGTTAATTTTACTCTATTTTAAAAACTAACAATTAAATAGAAATCAGTTAAATTTGAAGTGATTTTTTAGATGTTTGCCAACAAATATATATCATGGATATTTTAGTACTACTAATGCAATTGACTCGTTAAAATTACTTTTATATTTTATTAAATATACATGAGTACATTAATGTATAGGTACAGTTTAGCAAATAAGAATAAAACAGATAACCCTCATACTCCCTAGGTAGCTTAAGAAACAATACATAATACTTTTGAAGATTTCTTCAATTGTATTTCATATCCTGCCCTCTAGAGGTAACTATTTCCTTGAATTTGTTTTTTGTTATAACACAGACTTTTTAACTGCTTTATTTTGAACTTTCTATATATTGATCCAACTCTATATATTTTTCTGCAACTTGCTTTTTTTTTTCACCCAATATTATATTTTACAGTTCATCTGCTTTGATACTTGTAGCTCTAGTACATTTATTATTTTTCCTGCTATACAGCATTCTACTGTATGAATATATCACAATTTATGTATCTTCTAACAATGGATATTTAGGTTATTTTGAATATTTTGCTTACGTTGTTTTGAATATTTTCCTATGAAGAACAATGCTACTTGGAGTATTGTTGACATTTTTCCTTGCACACATGTATAAAAAGTTTCTCTAGGATATATTTCTAGGAGTAGAATTGCTAGTTCATATGATATGCACTTCTTTGCATCTTCAAGGTAATGCTAAATTATTTTCCTAAATGGTTATTCCAGTTGTACCCCTCTTAGCAAGGGATAACAGTCTTGGTTGTTACATGTTTTCACCAACAATATCTCAGTCTTTTATCATTATTGGTAATCTGATAGCTCATTGTAGTTCTAATTTATATTTCTCTGATTACTAATTAGGTTAATTGGCCATCAATGTTTCATTTATGAAATGTCATTTGCTCATGTTCCTTTTCTGAAGTTTGGTTTTCTTTATGGAATGTGTCTTTAATATGTCTATATCTCCTATGTATATTTTATGTGTCCTGGATACTGACTGCTTGTAGGCTTGTGTGTAGCAAATACTTCATGTTTGAGTGATCTTTTAATTCTGTACTGTCTTTTTACAGACAAAGTTTCATGTCGATCTGGTACTCTTTTAGGTATTCTATGCTAGCATAGTCCTTCATGTTATCTAGTCTGATGGAATACCTTGAAACCTTTAATGATTTAATTTTTTGAATATGTAAAATACTAGTCTGGTTTCTATCCTTATCCTCCCTGCCCTATTTCCTTCTGCAACATGAGTATTTTTTTTTTTTTCTGCTTTCTGGTTTCTCATTCCAGTCCATTTTTAAAAAAATAAATCCTAAAAATATATAAACACGTAAATACCCATGAGTCTTAGTTTCCAGCCTTTCTCATTCTAAATGTAATATAGAATATTTTATAAAAGAATTAAGTGAATTTATTTATTTAATAAAATATTCCTATAGATTCCTCTGTGTTAGTGCTAGGTATTTCTTCATCCTTATGACCATTTAGTAGTCCATTACATGCATGAACTGTAGTTTTTTCAGTCAATGCCCTATTGATGGACATTTGGGCTATTTCCAGTATATTTTTCTTACAAATACTGTAAGTGAACAATTTTGTACAATGTTTCTTATTTGTGGAGGTTCATTTTCAGGGTAATTTCTGGGAGTGGCATTGTTAAGTTAAAGGAGAAATATGCTGGTATTTGATGGATATTGCTGAATTTCAATTTTGATATATATATATTTCCAAGTTCCTTGTGTCACCATTTGGCACCAATAGCAATGTACATTTTATTCCACAGCCTCACCAACAGGGATTGTGGTCAAACTTAGGAATTTTTCTGAATCTCACAGGGGGACGGATAGATAGAAGTTTTAGTTTGCGCTTCGCTCTGTGTGAAGTTGAGCATCTTTTAAAAATGCTCATTGGCTATTTGCGATTCTTTTTCTGTGAATTCTCTATTATATCTTTTGCCCCCTTGGGTTTTGGCATTTTTTTTCTTGGTATTTAAGGGATCCTTATATATTAGAAAGATGTAGATGAGGGGTGGAACAAGATGGCTGAATAGAAGACACCCACTGCAAGCGCACCAATTTAACAACTATCTACACACAAAAAAACACCTTCCTAAGAACTGCATAAGAGCACTCATAGTACCTGGTTTTAACTTTATATCACTGAAAGAGGCACTGAACAGGTAGGAAAAACAGTCTTGAGTCACTGACGCCACCCTTCCTCCATTCCCTGGGAGTGGCGACATGGTGCGGAGAGTGATTCTGTGTACTGGGGAGAGGGACAGTCAGTGCAGCAGTTTTGAGGCATTGAACTCAGCACTATCTTGTTATAACAGAAAGCAAAATTGGACCAAACTCAGCTGATGCCTACCCATGGAGGGAATATTTAAACCAGCCCTAACCAGAGGGGAATTGCTGATCCTAGTGGTCAATACTTGAGTTTGCATAAGCCCTCCTATTATGGGCTAAAGTGCTCTGGTGCTCTAAGTAAATTTGAAAGGCAGTCTAGGCCACAAGAACTGCAACTCCTAGGTGAGTCCTAGTGCTGAACTAGGCCCAGAGACCGTGGACTGGGGGTGGCACGTGTTCTATTGAGACACCAGCTGGGGCAGCTAAGGGAGTGTGGCAATCACCCCTCCCGTAACCCAGACCACTCAGCTTGCAGCTCCAAAATAGACCCCTTCCCTCTGCTTGAGGAGAGGAGAAGGAATAGTGGGGAGGACTTTATCTTACATCCTGGATACCAGATTAGCCACAGTAAGATAGGGCACTGGTCAGAGTCATGATGCCCCCTTTCCAGGCCCTAGCTCCAAGATGACATTTCTAGACACTCCTTGGGTGAGAAGGACACCTATATCCTTGAAGGGAAGGACCCAATCCTGGCAAGATTCATCACCTGCTAACTGAGGAGCCCTGGGGCCCTGAATAACCATCAGTGATGCCCAGGGACTGCATTGAGGGCCTTGGGTGAGACTCTGATACTTGGTGGCATCAGGTGGGCCTGAGTACATTTCCAGCTGTGATGGCTATAGGACAAGACTTTTCACTTGAAAAAAGCAGAGAGAAAAGTAAAGGGGACTTTGTCTTGCACCTTAGGTACCAGCACAGTCATGGGGGTAGAATACCAAGTAGGCTCTTGGGGTCCCCAATTCCAGGACTTGGCTCTTGGATGGCATTTCTGGACCTGCCCTGGACCAGAGGGGAGCCTCCTGCCCTGAAGAGTGACTCGCAGCCTAGGCATCATTCACCACAAGCTGACTGAAGAACCCTTGGGTCTTAAGGGAACATCACTGGTACGCTGGCAGTACTCCCTGTAGGCCTGGGTTGTGATGGCCATGGGGTGAGGTTCATCTGCCTTTGGAAAGGGAAGGGTGGGAAGGACTGTGTCTTGTGGTTTGAATGTAAGCTCAGCCCCAGTAAAATAGAATACCAGGTAGACTGCTAAGGTTTTTTATTGTAGTCCCTGACTCCCAGTTCTGAGACAGCACTTCTGGATCCACCTGGGGCCTGGGGGAACTTGACACCCTGAAGGGAAGGACACAGGCCTGGCTAGCTTTGCCACCTGCTGATTGCAGAGCCCTAGGGCCTTGAGAAAGCATAGGCAGTAGCCAGGTAGTGGTTACAGTGGACTTTGGTTAAGACCCAGTGCTGTGCTGTTTAACATCTGACCAAGCACAATCCTGATGGTCATGGCCATGGGGATGCTATGTCCCTCCACCCTTAGCTTCAGATGGCTGAGAACAGAGAGAGAGACTGTTCATTTGGAAGAAAGTAAGGGCAGTGACAAGAGTCTCTGCTTGGTAATTCAGAACATTTTCCCAGATGTTGTCTAAGACAATCAAGGCAGTATGTCTACAAGTCTGCAAGAACCACAGCATTACTGGGCCTGGGGTGCCCCTATAGCAGATACAGCTTAGGTCTCAACACCCAAGTCCTTTTTGTATTCCTGGAAAGCATTCCCAAGATGGATGAGAACAAGCCCAGACTGTGAAGACTGCAATAAATAGCTAACTCTTCAGTGCCCAGGTACAAACAAACATCTACAAGCAGCAAGACCATCCAGGAAAGTGACTTCACCAGATGAACTAAATAACGCACCAAGGGCCGGGCGCGGTGGCTCACGCCTGTAATCCCAGCACTTTGGGAGGCCGAGGCGGGCGGATCACGAGGTCAGGAGATCGAGACCATCCCGGCTAAAACGGTGAAACCCCGTCTCTACTAAAAATACAAAAAATTAGCCGGGCGTAGTGGCGGGCGCCTGTAGTCCCAGCTACTTGGGAGACTGAGGCAGGAGAATGGCGTGAACCCGGGAGGCGGAGCTTGCAGTGAGCCGAGATCCCGCCACTGCACTCCAGCCTGGGCGACAGAGCGAGACTCTGTCTCAAAAAAAAAAAAAAAAAAAAAAAAAAAAAAAAAAAAAATAACGCACCAAGGACCAACCCTGAAGAAATGGACATATGTGACCTTTCAGACACAGTATTCAAAATAGCTGTTTTGAGGAAAGTGAAATTCAAGATAACAAAGAGAAGGAATTCAGAAGTATATCAGACAAATTTAACAAAGAGATTGAAATAATTAAAAAGAATCAAGCACAAATTCTAGAGCTGAAAAATGCAATTGACATATTGAAGAATGCATTAGAATCTTAACAGCAGAACTGATCAAGCAGCACAAAGAATTAGTGAGCTTGAAAGCAGACAATTTGAAAATACACAGTCAGAGGAGACAAAAGAAAAAATAAAAAAGAATGAAGTATGCCTACAGGATCTAGAAAATAGCCTCAAGAGGGCAAATCTAAGAGTGGTTATTGGCCTTTTACCTCCCAAGAGAAACATATCAATATCCAAGTATAAGAAGGTTATAGAACACCTAGCAGATTTAACCCAAAGAAGACTACCTCAAGGCATTTAATAAACTCCTAAAGATCAAGAATAAAGAAAGGATGCTAAAAGCGGCAAGAGAAAAGAAACAAGTAACATACAATGGAGCTGCAATACGTCTGGGAGCAGACTTTGCAGTGGAAGCCTTACAAGCCGAGAGAGTGGCATGACATATTTAAAGTGCTGAAGGAAGAAACCTTTTACCCTAAAATAGTATATCCAGCAAAAATCTCCCTCAAACATGAAGTAGAAATAAAGACTTCCTAGACAAACAAAAGCTGAGGGATTATCAACACCAGACCTGTTCTGCAAGAAAATACTAAAAGGAGTACTTCAGTCAGAAAGCAAATAAAGTTAATGAGCAAGAAGAAATCATCTGAAGGTACAAAACTCACTGATAATAATAAGTACACAGAAAAACGAAATATAACACTGTAAATGTGTGTAAACTACTCATATCTGAAGTAGAAACACTAAATGATGAACTAGTCAAAAATAATAACTATATCAGCTTTTCAAGCCATAGAGTATAAAAGATATATATAGAAACAACAGAGAGTTAAAAAGCAAGGGAATGAAGTTAAGGGGTAGAGTTTTTATTAGTTTTCTTTGCTCATTTTTTTATGCAAACAATTAAGTTGTTATCAGCTTAAAATCATGAGTTCTAAGATTGTATTTCCAAGCCTTATGAAAAACTCAAACCCAAATCATACAACAGATACACAAAAAATAAAAAGTAAGAAAATAAATTATGTCACCAGAGAAAATCAGCTTTACTAAAAGGAAGACAAGAAGGAAGGAAAGACGAAATGACCACAAAACGGCCAAAAAACAGATAACAAAATAGCAGCAGTAAGTCTTTACTTATCAATAATGACTTTGACTGTCAATGGATTAAGCTCTCCAATCAAAAGATATAGAGTGGCTGAATGGATAAAAAATAAAACCCAATGATCTGTTGCCTATAAGAAACACATTTCACCTATAAAGACACAAATAGACAGAAAATAAAGGGATGGAAAAAGATATTCCAAGCCAATAGAAACCAAAAAAGAGCAAGAGTAGCTACACGTATATTAGACAAATTTCAAGACAAAAATTATAAGAGACAAAAGAAGGTCATTATAATTCCTGATGCAACCTAATGAAACTTAATCCCTAATGCAACAATGTTAAGAGATGAGACCATTAAAGAGGTAGTTAGGCCATGAGTGCTCCATCCTCATGAAGGGGGTCAATTCAGAAAGAGGATATAACAATTTTAAATATATATGCACCCAACACTGAAGCACCCAGATACATAAAGCAAATATTATTAGAGTGAAAGAGGAAGAGACACACTCCCAATACGATAATAGTTGGAGACTTCAACATTCCTCTTTTCAGCATTAGACAGATCTTCCAGAAAGAACACTGATGAAAAACCAGACTTCATCTGTACTATAGATCAAATGGACCTAAAAGATATTTACAGAACATTTCATCCAGTAGCTACAGAATAGACATTCTTTTCCTCAGCACATGGATCATTCTCAAAGATAGACATACGTTAGGCAACAAAACAAGTCTTAAAACATTTTTAAAAATTGAAATGATATCAAATATCTTTTCTAACTACAATGGAATAAAACTAGAAATAATGAGGAATTTTGGGAACTATACAAATACATGAAAATTAAACAGTATGCACCTGAATGACCAGTGGGTCAATGAAGAAATTAAGAATGAAATTGAAAAATTCCTTGAAACAAATGATAATTGAAACACAATATACCAAAACCTGTGGGATACAGCAAAAGCAGTACTAAGAGGGAAGTTCGTAGCTCTAAAAGTCTACATCAAAAAAGAAGAAAAACCACAAATAAACACCTTAGCTATATATCTTAAAGAACTAGAACGGCAAGAACAAACCAAACCCAAAATTAGTAGCAGAAAATAAATAATAAGGACTAGAGCAGAAATAAATGACATTGAAATGAAGCAAACAGTACAAAGTATCAATGAAAAAAAGTTGGTTTTTGAAAAATTAAACAAAATTGACAAACATTTATCTAGACTAAGAAAAAAAGAAGATGTAAATAAATAAAATCAGAGGCCCAGCGTGAGCGACACAGAAGACGGGTGATTTCTGCATTTCCATCTGAGGTATTGGGTTCATCTCACTAGGGAGTGCCAGACAGTGGGCGCAGGTCAGTGGGTGTGCGCACCATGCATGAGCCGAAGCTGGGCGAGGCATTGCCTCACTCGGGAAGCGAAAGGGGTCAGGGAGTTCCCTTTCCTAGTCAAAGAAAGGGGTGACAGACGGCACCTGGAAGATCGGGTCACTCCCATCCGAATACTGCGCTTTTCCGACGGGCTTAAAAAATGGCACACCAGGAGATTATATCCCGCACATGGCTCAGAGGGTCCTACGCCCAGGGAGTCTCTCTGATTGCTAGCACAGCAGTCTGAGATCAAACTGGAAGGCGGCAGCAAGGCTGGGGGAGGGGCGCCCGCCATTGCCCAGGCTTGCTTAGGTAAACAAAGCAACTGGGAAGCTCGAACTGGGTGGAGCCCACCACAGCTCAAGGAGGCCTGCCTGCCTCTGTAGGCTCCACCTCTGGGGGCAGGGCACAAACAAAAAGCAGTAACCTCTGCAGACTTAAATGTCCCTGTCTGACAGCTTTGAAGAGAGCAGTGGTTCTCCCAGCACGCAGCTAGAGATCTGAGAACAGGCAGAATGCCTCCTCAAGTGGGTCCCTGACCCCTGACCCCCGAGCAGCCTAACTGGGAGGCACCCCCAAGCAGTGGTAGACTGACACCTCACACAGCCGGGTATGCCAACAGATCCGCAGCTGAGGGTCCTGTCTGTTAGAAGGAAAACTAACAGAAAGGACATCCACACCAAAAACCCATCTGTACATCACCATCATCAAAGACCAAAAGTAGATAAAACCACAAAGATGGGGAAAAAACAGAGCAGAAAAACTGGAAACTCTAAAAAGCAGAGCGCCTCTCCTCCTCCAAAGGAACGCAGTTCCTCACCAGCAACGGAACAAAGCTGGACGGAGAATGACTTTGACGAGCTGAGAGAAGAAGGCTTCAGACAATCAAATTACTCCGAGCTATGGGAGGACATTCAAACCAAAGGCAAAGAAGTTGAAAACTTTGAAAAAAAACTTAGAAGAATGTATAACTAGAATAACCAATACAGAGAAGTGCTTAAAGGAGCTGATGGAGCTGAAAACCAAGGCTCGAGAACTACTTGGAGAATGCAGAAGCCTCAGGAGCCGATGCGATCAACTGGAAGAAAGGGTATCAGCGATGGAAGATGAAATGAAATGAAGCGAGAAGGGAAGTTTAGAGAAAAAAGAATAAAAAGCAACGAGCAAAGCCTCCAAGAAATATGGGACTATGTGAAAAGACCAAATCTACATCTGATTGGTGTACCTGAAAGTGATGGGGAGAATGGAACCAAGTTGGAAAACACTCCGCAGGATATTATCCAGCAGAACTTCCCAATCTAGCAAGGCAGGCCAACATTCAGATTCAGGAAACAGAGATAATGCCACAAAAGATACTCCTCAAGAAGAGCAACACCAAGACACATAATTGTCAGATTCACCAAAGTTGAAATGAAGGAAAAAATGTTAAGGGCAGCCAGAGAGAAAGGTCGGGTTACCCTCAAAGGGAAGCCCATCAGACTAACAGTGGATCTCTCAGCAGAAACTCTACAAGCCAGAAGAGAGTGGGGGCCAATATTCAACATTCTTAAAGAAAAGAATTTTCAACCCAGAATTTCATATCCAGCCAAACTAAGCTTCATAAGTGAAGGAGAAATCAAATCCTTTACAGACAAGCAAATGCTGAGAGATTTTGTCACCACCAGGCCTGCCCTAAAGGAGCTCCTGAAGGAAGCACTAAACATGGAAAGGAACAACCGGTACCAGCCACTGCAAAATCATGCCAAAATGTAAAGACCATCGAGACTAGGAAGAAACTGCATCAACTAACGAGCAAAATCACCAGCTAACATCATAATGACAGGATCAAATTCACACATAACAATATTAACTTTAAATGTAAATGGACTAAATGCTCCAATTAAAAGACACAGATTGGCAAATTGGATAAAGAGTCAAGACCCATCAGTGTGCTGTATTCAGGAATCCCATACCACGTGCGGAGACACACATAGGCTCAAAATAAAAGGATGGAGGAAGATCTACCAAGCAAATGGAAAACAAAAAAAGGCAGGGGTTGCAATCCTGGTCTCTGGTAAAACAGACTTTAAATCAACAGAGATCAAAAGAGACAAAGAAGGCCATTACATAATGGTAAAGGGATCAATTCAACAAGAAGAGCTAACTATCCTAAATATATATGCACCCAATACAGGAGCACCCAGATTCATAAAGCAAGATTCCTGAGTGACCTACAAAGAGACGTAGACTCCCACACATTAATAATGGGAGACTTTAACACCCCACTGTCAACATTAGACAGATCAATGAGACAGAAGGTCAGCAAGGATACCCAGGAATTGAACTCAGCTCTGCACCAAGCAGACCTAATAGACATCTACAGAACTCTCCACCCCAAATCAACACAATATACATTTTTTTCAGCACCACATGACACCTATTCCAAAATTGACCACATACTTGGAAGTAAAGCACTCCTCAGCAAATGTAAAAGAACAGAAACTATAACAAATGGTCTCTCAGACCACAGTGCAATCAAACTAGAACTCAGGATTAAGAATCTCACTCAAAACCGCTCAACTACATGGAAACTGAACAACCTGCTCCTGAATGACTACTGGGTACATAACGAAATGAAGGCAGAAATAAAGATGTTCTTTGAAACCAACGAGAACAAAGACACAACATACCAGAATCTCTGGGACACATTTAAAGCAGTGTGTAGGGGGAAATTTCTAGCACTAAATGCCCACAAGAGAAAGCAGGAAAGATCCAAAATTGACACCCTAACATCACAATTAAAAGAACTAGAAAAGCAAGAGCAAACACATTCAAAAGCTAGCGGAAGGCAAGAAATAACTAAAATCAGAGCAGAACTGAAGGAAATAGAGACACAAAAAACCCTTCAAAAAATTAATGAATTTGGGAGCTGGTTTTTTGAAAGGATCAACAAAATTGGTAGACCTAGCAAGACTAATAAAAAAAGAGAGAGGAATCAAATAGACGCAATAAAAAATGATAAAGGGGATATCACCACCGATCCCACAGAAATACAAACTACCATCAGAGAATACTACAAACACCTCTACCCAAGTAAACTAGAAAATCTAGAAGAAATGGATAAATTACTCAACACATACACCCTCCCAAGACTAAACCAGGAAGAAGTTGAATCCCTGAATAGGCCAATAACAGGATCTGAAATTGTGGCAATAATCAATAGCTTACCAACCAAAAAGAGTCCAGGACCAGATGGATTCACAGCTGAATTCTACCAGAGGTACAAGGAGGAACTGGTACCATTCCTTCTGAAACTATTCCAATCAATAGGAAAAGAGGGAATCCTCCCTAACTCATTTTATGAGGCCAGCATCATCCTGATACCAAAGCCGGGCAGAGACACAACCAAAAAAGAGAATTTTAGACCAATATCCTTGATGAACATTGATGCAAAAATCCTCAATAAAATACTGGCAAACCAAATCCAGCAGCACATGAAAAAGCTTATCCACCATGATGAAGTGGACTTCATCCCTGGGATGCAAGGCTGGTTCAATATACGCAAATCAATAAATGTAATCCAGCATGTAAACAGAACCAAAGACAAAAACCACATGATTATCTCAATAGATGCAGAAAAGTCCTTTGACACAATTCAACAACCTTCATGCTAAAAACTCTCAATAAATTAGGTATTGATGGGATGTATTTCAAAATAATAAGAGCTATCTATGACAAACCCACAGCCAGTATCATACTGAATGGGCAAAAACTGGAAGCATTCCCTTTGAAACCTGGCACAAGACAGGGATGCCCTCTCTCACCACTCCTATTCAACATAGTGTTGGAAGTTCTGGCCAGGGCAATTAGGCAGGAGAAGAAAATAAAGGGGATTATATTAGGAAAAGAGGAAGCCAAATTGTCCCTGTTTGCAGATGACATGACTGCATATATAGACAACCCCATTGTCTCAGCCCAAAATCTCCTTAAGCTGATAAGCAACTTCAGCAAAGTCTCAGGATACAAAATCAATGTACAAAAATCACAAGCATTCTTATACACCAACAACAGACAAACAGAGAGCCAAATCATGAGTGAACTCCCATTCACAATTGCTTCCAAGAGAATAAAATACCTAGGAATCCAACTTACAAGGGATGTGAAGGACCTCTTCAAGGTGAACTACAAACCACTGCTCAAGGAAATAAAAGAGGATACAAACAAATGGAAGAACATTCCATGCTCATGGGTAGGAAGAATCAATATCGTGAAAATGGCCATACTGCCCAAGGTAATTTACAGATTCAATGCCATCCCCATCAAGCTACCAATGACTTTCTTCACAGAATTGGAAAAAACTAAAGTTCATATGCAACCAAAAAAGATCCCTCATTGCCAAGTCAATCCTAAGCCAAAAGAACAAAGCTGGAGGAATCACACTACCTGACTTCAAACTATACTACAAGGCTACAGTCACCAAGACAGCATGGTACTGGTACCAAAAGAGAGATATAGATTAGTGGAACAGAACAGAGCCCTCAGTAATAACGCCACATATCTACAACTATCTGATCTTTGACAAGCCTGACAAAAGCAATGGGGAAAGGATTCCCTATTTAATAAATGGTGCTGGGAAAACTGGCTAGCCATATGTAGAAAGCTGAAACTGGATCCCTTCCTTACACCTCATACAAAAATCAATTCAAGATGGATTAAAGACTTAAACGTTAGACCTAAAACCATAAAAACCCTAGAAGAAAGCCTAGGCATTACCATTCAGGACATAGGCATGGGCAAGGTCATGTCTAAAACACCAAAAGCAATGGCAACAAAAGCCAAAATTGACAAATGCGATCTAATTAAAGTAAAGAGCTTCTGCACAGCAAAAGAAACTACCATCAGAGTGAACAGGCAACCTACAAAATGGGAGAAAATTTTCGCATCCTACTCATCTGACAAAGGGCTAATATCCAGAATCTACAATGAACTCCAACAAATTTACAAGAAAAAAAAACAACCCCATCAAAAAGTGGGCAAAGGATATGAACAGACACTTCTCAAAAGAAGACATTTATGCAGCCAAAAAACACATGAAAAAATGCTCACCATCACTGGCCATCAGAGAAATGCAAATCAAAACCACAATGAGATACCATCTCACGCCAGTTAGAATGGCAATCATTAAAAAGTCAGGAAACAACAGGTGCTGGAGAGGATGTGGAGAAATAGGAACACTTTTACACTGTTGGTGGGACTGTAAACTAGTTCAACCATTGTAGAAGGCAGTGTGGCGATTCCTCAGGGATCTAGAACTAGAAATACCATTTGACCCAGCCATCCCATTACTGGGTATATACCCAAAGGACTATAAATCATGCTGCTATAAAGACACATGCACACGTATGTTTATTGCGGCATTATTTACAATAGCAAAGACTTGGAACCAACCCAAATGTCCAACAATGATAGACTAGATTAAGAAAATGTGGCACATATAGAGCATGGAATACTATGCAGCCATAAAAAAGGATGAGTTCATGGCCTTTGTAGGGACATGGATGAAATTGGAAATCATCATTCTCAGTAAACTATCCCAAGAACAAAAAACCAAACACCGCATATTCTCACTCATAGGTGGGAATTGAACAATGAGAACACATGGACACAGGAAGGGGAACATCACACTCTGGGGACTGTTGTGGCGTGGGGGGAGGGAGGAGGGATGGCATTGGGAGATATACCTAATGCTAGATGACGAGTTAGTGGGTGCAGTGCACCAACATGGCACATGTATACATATGTAACTAACCTGCACAATGTGCACATGTACCCTAAAACTTAAAGTATAATAATAATAAATAAAATTAAATTAAAAAAATAAATAAATAAAATCAGAGATGAAAAAGGAACATAATAGCTTATAACAGGAATTCAAAGGATCATTCGTGGGTGCTATGAATGACTACATGCCAATAAGTTGGAAAATCTAGAAGAAAAGGACAAATTCCTAGACACACACAATTTACCAAGATTGAACCATGAAGAAATCCAAAACCTGAACAGTCCAATAACGAGTAACTAGATTGAAGTTGTAATAAAAAGTCTCCCAGGAAATAAAGCCTGGGACTTGAAGGCTTCACTGCTGAATTCTACAAAACATGTAACGAAGAACTAATACCAGTCCTACTAAAAATATTCTGAAAAATGGAGGATGAGGGACTACTTCCAAACCCATTCTACAAGGCAATGTATTAACCTGATACCAAAACCAGACAAAGACATCAAGAAAAGAAAACTACTGATCAGTGTCTCTGATGAATATTGATGCAAAAATCTTCAACAAAATACTAGCAAACAGGATTCAACAGTATATTTAAAAGATTATTCATTATGACCAAGTGGGATTTATCCCTGGGATACAAGAATGGTTCAAGATACACAAATCAATCAGTGTGATACATCATAATAACAGAATGAAGGACAAGAAACATATGAACATTTCAATTGATGCTGAAAAAGCATTTGATAAAATTTAACATCCCTTCATGGTAAAAACCTTCAAAAAATGAATATAGAAGGAACATAACTCAATATAATAACAGCCATGTATGACAGACCCACAGCTACTATTTTACTTAATGGGGAAGAACTGAAAGGCTTTCCTCTAAGATATAGAACATGACAAGTATGCCCACTTTCATTTTTATTCAACATAGTACTCTAAGTTCTACTGGAAGTTCTATCTAGAGCATGAGACAAGAGAAAGAAATAAAGGGCATCCAAATTGGAAAGAAAGAAGTCAAATTATCCTTGTTTGCCAATGATGTGGTCTTATATTTAGAAAAACCAAAAGATGCCATAAAAAACCTATTAGAATTGATAAAATCAAAAAAGTTGCAGCAGGCAAAATCAACATGCAAAAATCAGTAGCATTTTTATATGCCAACAGTGAACAGTCTGAAAAAAATTTTTAAAGTAGTTCCATTTACAGTAGCCACAAATAAAGTTAAGTACCTAGGAATTAACCAAGGAAGTGAAAGAGCTCAATAATAAAGACTATAAAACACTAATGAAAGACTTTGAAGAGGACACCAAAACATGGAAAGATATTCCCTGTTCATGGATTAGAAGAATCAATATTGTTTAAAATGTCCATACTACCCTAAGCAATCTATTCAATGCAATCACTATCAAAATACCAATGACATTATTAACAGAAATTGAAAAACCAATTCCAAAATGTATATGGAACCATAAAAGACCAAGAATAGCCTAAGTTATCCTAAGCAAAACAAACAAAACTGAAGGAATAGCATTCTCTTACTTCAAATTATACTACAGAACTATAGTAACCAAAACAGCATGAGAAGTATAGTAACCAAAACAGCATGAGAACTATAGTAACCAAAACAGCATGGTACCAGCATAAAACAGACACATAGACCAATGGAACAGAATAGAGAACCCAGAAACAATTCCACACATTTCCAGTGAACTCATTTTTGATAGAGGTGCCAAGAACATGCACTGGGAAAAGACAGTCTCTTCAATGAATGCTGCAGCGAAAACTGGTATCTGTATGCAGAAGAATGAAACTAGACCCCTGTCTCTCACCATATACAAAAATCAAATCAAAATGGATTAAAGACTTAAATCTAAGACTTTGAACTATGGAACTACCACAAGAAAACACTAAGGAAATTCCCCAGGACATTCCTTTGGGTAAAAATTTCTTGAGTAATAACAAGCATAGGGAACCAAAGCAAAAATGGACAAACAGGATCACATCAGACAAACAGGATCACATCAAGTTAAAAAACTTCTATACAATAAAGGAAACAATCAATAAAGAGACAACCCACAATGGGAGAAAATATTTGCAAATTACCTATCTGGCAAGGGATTAATATAATGTATAAGGAGTTCAAACAACTGTATAGGAAAAAATCTAATAATCTCAATAAGAAATAGGCCAAATATTTGAATAGACATTTCTCAAAAGAGACATACACATGGCAAAGGGGCATATGAAAGGATGCTCAACATCACTGATCATCAAAGAAATGCAAATCAAAAGTACAATTGGATATGATATCACCTCGTTTAAAATGACTTATATCCCAAAGACAGGCAATTACAAACGCTGATGAGGATATGGAGAAAGGGAACCCTTATACACTACCAATGGTAACATAAATTAGTACAACCACTATGGAGAATAGTTTGGAGGTTCCTCAAAAAACTAAAAATAGAGCTACCATATGATCAAGCATCCCACTGCTGGATATATACCCAAAAGAAAGGAAATCAGTATATTAAAGAGCTATCTCCACTCCCATGTTTGTTGCAGCACTGTTCACAATATCCAAGATTTGGAAGCAACCTAAGTGTCCATCAACAAATGAATCACTAAACAAAATGTGTTAATTAAACACAATCTAATAATCTATACATAATCTAATAATGATAATTATCATTGTTTTATAATGTTTAATTTCTTGAGAAGTTACACCTCCTTGCATTTTTTAAAAAGTTTTTTTCTGGTTATTCTTGATTACTTTTTCATATAACCTTTAAAATCAACTTGCCTAACTCCAGAAAATAGCATAAAAAAAGAATGATCCTGTCATTTGCAACAACATGGATGGAACTGGAGGTTATGTTAAGTGAAACAAGCCAGGCACAGAAAGACAAACAACACATGTTCTCACTTATTTATGGAATCTAAAATCAAAGCAATTGAACTCATGGAAATAAGAGGGTAGAAGAATGGTTACTAGAGGCTAGGAAAGGTAGTTGTGGGGTTGGGAGGGTGGTGATAGTTAATGGATACAAAAAATTCAATTAGAAAGAATGAATAAGATCTAGTATTTGCTAGCACAACAGGGTAGCTATAGTGAATAAAAATTGAATTGTACATTTTCAAATAATGAAAACAATGTAATTAGATGATTTGTAACCCAAAGAATCAGTGCTTTAGGGGATGAACACTCCAGTTTTCATGTGATTATTATACATTGTATCCTTGTATCAAAACATCTCATGTGCCCCATAAATATATATGCCTACTATGTATCCACAAAAATTAAAAAGTAATAACATGTATGTTTTGCTATGTGGCAAATGTTTTCTTCTAGTTTAATATTGGTTTTTGATTTATTTTGTTTAGTCTTTGCATATAGTGTCTCTTGCTTTGCAGAAGACTTATCTTCTTTATGTAGTTAAATTGATCAATTTTTTCTTTTATTTCTGGGTTTAGACTCTCCAGACTCTTCACACTTCCAAGTTACAAATGAACTTACCATATTTTCTTCTAGTACTAATATGCTTTTTAAAATTTAGTTCTTTAATCCATTTGGAGTTTAAGTTGACTTAAGGCATGAGGTTTCTATCAGTCCAAGTTTTAAAAATACTTCTTTTCCCTAGGTATTTGTGATATTACCTTTTTTATATAATAACTTTCCATATGTAGCTGACCTATTTTGTGGCTTTCTTGTTTCATTGATCTTTCCTAATCTTCATGTGCCAATACCATACCGCTTTTATTATCTTTTTATAAATGTTTAATTTCTTGAAGAATTATATGCCTCTTTGCACTTTTTAAAAAGTTTTTTCCTGGTTATTCTTGGATTGTTTTTCCATATAACCTTTAAAATAAACTTGCTTAAGTCCAAAAGAAAAGTTTTAATTTTTACTGGGAAACTGTTAACTGTATGTGTTAGTTTAGTATGAAGTATTATCTTTATAATGTTGAGTAGTCCTGTCTGAGAACATAAGATGTCCTTTCATTAGTTCAGTCTAGTTTTTTACATTTAGTAGTTGCGTAAAATACCTTTAAGCACTTTCCCGAAGTTTTCCTCACATAGATTCTGCATGTTTCTTGTTAGATTTATCTGTAGTGCTTTCTGATACCCAAACACACACACACAGCTACTTTAGCATGAATATACATCCTGTGTTTCTATATTAAGTAAGATTCTGGATTTGGGGCTTAGACTTATGTGTTTTTTTTTTTTTTATTTTGCCAATAGCTTTTTTTTCTTGTGAGGTACTTTTGATGAATCAGTAATTTGGGAGAGAGTGATTCTTAGCATCTATGGGAATTATTATTAATTTTTATTCATATGTCTTTTTGCATTATTGTTGCAAAAAGGCATGCAACATAAAATTTATCCTCTCAACAGTTTCCAGGTGTACAATACAATATTGTCAACCACATGCACATTGTTGTGCAACAGACCCTCGTCCTGTCTCTCACACTCCCTAAACAACAATTTCCTACTTGCCCCTCCCCCCAGCCCCTGGCCATTACCATTTTACCTTCTGTTTCTGTATTCTACTTATATAACTAGTAGGTGAAATCATGTGGTATTTGTCTTTTTTTGATGGCTTGTTTCACTTAGCATAATGTCCTTAGGGTTCATCCACTTTGTAGTATGTAACAAGATTTCCTTCTTTTTCGTTGCTGAATAGTATTCAATTGTACGTGTATGCCATATTTTCTGTATCCATTCTTTCATTGGTGGTCATTTAGGTTGTTTCTGACTCCTGGCTATTGTGAATAATGCTGCAATGAACATAAGTATGCAATTATCTCTTCTATTAGATATATACTCACAAGTTATATTGCTGGATTATATGGTAGTTCTATTTTTATTTTTTGAGAAATCTTCATACCATTTTCTGTAGTTGCTGCACCATTTTATATTTCCACCAGCAGTGCAAAAAGATTCCAGTTTTTCTACATCCTTGCCAATATTTATTATTTTTTGTTTTTTTCTGACAGTGGTCACCCTAAGAAGTGTGAGGTGATATTTCATTTTGATATAGATCTTTTTAAATGGTGAATTTTACTAATGGATTTTGTGATTTGGACCATCTTAGCATTCCTGTAATAAATTCCACCAAGTCCTGATGTGTTATGATTCTTTGCTCTTCTTTTTATTCTGTTCTTTTAAAAAAATTTAATACTTTTTAAGTATAAGGTTTTCGTATCGGTATTCATAAGTGAGGTTTTCCTGTAGAGAGATAATGTGTGTATATGTGTGTGCAATCTTTATCAGATTTTCATATTGATGTTATAACAGATACACAAAAGTTTTAAATGTACATACAGGCAAAAATTCAGGCTATTTGAAAGCCTTCTTGAAACTTGAATCTTTTGCTGCTTCTCTATCCCAATTTCACAGCTTTATTGCAGATCATAATCACTTCATACCTAGATTATTCAGTTAATCGTCTAACTGACTTGATTTCATCATCTCACTTCTCTTTAATTCATCCTTAGGTGACATCATGGACAATCTAAAATGTACCTCCATTAATGTTTAGAAATATTTACACATTCTTTTCCCTCTATCCCATATGTTAGTTTTTCATATTGTCTCTGAAAATTGTTGGTTTATTCATCATTCAAAACGTACTCTCTATACTTATGTTTTCTCTATAAATTATCACCAAACCTCTTTCCCTGGGGTTCATCACACTTAGCTGCCTACTACTTTTGTATCTTCTATGATGTCACATCTTATTTTGTGACTTAAACAAATGTATATCTTTCTCCATTACAAGGTTCTGAACACTTTGAGGGCTCTGACCATGTGTCTCTAATAACTATCACAGTGCCTTACATAAAGTAGTTACTCAATAAGTGTTTTTTTTTCAGTATTCTTTTTTTTTAATTTTTACCACAAGTTATTGGGGTAAAGGTGGTATTTCCTCACATGAGAAAGTTCTTTAGTGGTGATTTGTGAGACCGGTGCACCCATCACCCGAGCAGTATACACCGCACCATATTTGTAGTCTTTTATCCCACTTCCTCCTCCCACTCTTCCCCCCAAGTTCCCAAAGTCCATTGTATCATACTTATGACTTTGCATCTTCATATCTTAGTTACCTCATATCAGTGAGAACATACGGTTTGGTTTCCCATTCCTGAGTTATTTCACTTAGTCACTACAAATGCTGTTAATTCCTTCCTTTTTATGGCTGCGTTTTTAATCTACCATATATATATATGTGATGTGTATATATATATGTGATATGTGTATATATCACATATATAGTGTATATATAACATATATGTGTATATATCCATATATGTATAGATCACATATATACATCTATATGTATATATACATATATACACATATACATATATGTATGTGTGTACATATACACATAGATGTATATATGTACTTATGTGTATATGTATATGTGTGTACATATATACACATATACACATACATATATGTATGTGTATATATGTATATAAGTATGTATATATGTGTATATATGTGTATATGTGTATATACATATATGTATGTGCATACACATGCATGTGTATATGTGCATACACATGCATGTGTATATGTGTATACACATGCATGTGTATGTGTATACACGTATGTGTATATGTGTATACACATGTATGTATGTCTATACACATGTATGTGTGTATGCACATGTATGTGTATGTGTATACACATGCATGTGTATGCACATGCATGTGTGTATGTGTGTATACACATGCATGTGTATGTGTGTGTGCACATGCATGTGTATGTGTGTGTACACATGCATGTGTATGTGTGTACACATGCATGTGTATATGTGTGTATACACATGCATGTGTATGTGTATACACGTATACACATGCATGTGTATGTGTATACACGTATACACATGTATATACACATACATGTCTATATGTATATAGACATGTATACATACATATATATCTATGTATATATACATGTCATGTCTATATACATGTCTGTATATATACCTACCTGTATGTATATATACATGTATATATACCTACCTGTATGTATATATACATGTATATATACCGGTATGTATATATACATACATATATACCTGTATATATACCTGTATATATACCTGTATGTACATATACATACATCTATACATGTATATGTACATGTATATATACCTGTATGTATATGTACATACATATATACATATGTATATATACATGTATATATACCTATATGTATATGTACATACATATATACATATGTATATATACATGTATATATACCTGTATGTATATATACATACATATATATGTATATATACATATGTTTATATACCTGTATTTATATATACATACATACATACATATGTATATATACCTATATATATACCTGTATGTATATATACATACGTATATACATACGTATATATACATACGTATATGTATACATACGTATATATACGTATGTATATATACATACAGGTATATATACGACGTATATACGTATGTACGTATATACACGACATATACGAATATGCGTATATACACGACATATGTGTATATACGTATATACGTATATATGTATATACGTATATACATATATATGTATATATAGATATGTGTATATATGTATACACATTTATATTTATGTATATATGTATGTATACATGTGTATATATGTATATATACGTATACGTGTATATATGTATATAGACGTATACGTGTATATATGTATATAGACGTGTACACATATGTGTATATACGTATGTATACATGTGTATATACGTATATGTATATATGTGTATACTCGTATACATGTGTGTATGTATATACATATACACGTATATACACATATGTATATACACGTATATACACGTATATACATATATGCATATACGTGTATATACGTATATACATATGTGCATATACGTGTATATACGTGTATATACATATATGCATATACGTGTATATGTATATATACATGTGTATATACGTGTATATGTATATATACATGTGTATATACGTGTATATGTATATATACATGTGTATATACGTGTATATGTGTATACACGTGCATACGTGTATGTGTAGATATGTGCATATACGTATATATGTAGATATGTGCATATACGTATATATGTAGATATGTGCATATACACACGTGTATATATGTGCATATACCCATGTGTATATATTTGCATATTCATATATGTTTATATTACACATATACGTGTATATATGTGTACACACACATACGTGTATATATGTGTACACACACATACGTGTATATATGTGTACACACACATACGTGTATATATGTGTATACACATATACGTGTATATATGTGTATACACATATACGTGTATACACATATACATATGTATGTGTGTAGACACATACGTATGTATACACATATACATATGTATATATGTGTACATATACATATGTATACATACATTTGTATATATACATGTATACATTTATACATTTGTACACATACATATGTATACATGCGTGCATACATGTGTACACGTACATACGTATACATGCGTGCATACATGTGTACGCGTACATATGTATACACATGTATAGATACGTATATATACATATGTATATACGCATGTATACAGTACATATGTATATATACCTGTATACATGCGTATATACATATGTATGTATGCCTGTATACATGCGTATATACATATTTATGTATGCCTGTATACATGCGTATATACATATGTATATATACATGTATACACGTATATATATATTTGTACGTAAATATACATAGATGTATATATGCATGTGTATATATACGTGTATACATGTATATACACGTATATATATGCATATATACATACATATATATGTATATTTACGTATATACACTTATACGTATATACGTATGTGTATATGTATATATTAAATTATGTGCATATACCTATATATACGTGTATATACAGGTATGTGCATATACGTATATATACATGTATGTACACCTATGTGCATATACGTTTATATAAGTATATATACATGTATATACACATGTATATACACGTATGTGTATATACGTGTATATACACATATATGTACATGTATATACGTATGTATACGTGTATATGTATATATGTACATACGTATATATGTATATACATGCATATATGCGTATATGTATATACATGCATATATGTATATATGTATATACATGCATATACGTATATGCATGCATATATGTATATATGTATATACGTATATGCATGCATATATGTATATATGTATATACGTATATGCATGCATATATGTATATACGTATATACAGGCATATATGTATATATGTCTGAATATATGTATATGTGTATATATGTGCTTCCATGTATATGTGTATATGTATATATGTATATATATGTGTGTTTAGATATATACACACACATATTGTGTCTTCATCCACTCGTTGATTGATGGGCATTTGGGTTTGTTGCATGATTTTGTAATTGTGAATTATGCTGCTGTAAACGTGTGTGAAAGTATCTTTTTTGAATTTTTTGAATATTGATTTCTTTTCCTCTGGGTGGATACCCATTAGTGGGACTGCTGGACCAAATGGTAGTTCTACTTTTAGTTCTTTAAGTAATTTCTATGCTGTTTTCCATAGTGGCTGTACTAGTTTACATTCCCACCAGCAATGTAGAAGTGTTCCCTGTTCACCACTCCCATACCAACATCTACAGTTTTTTTATTTTTTGATATGGCCATTCTTGCAGGAGTAAGGTGGTATCACATTGTGGTTTTGATTTGCATTTCCCTGGTCATTAGTGATATTGAGCATTTTTTCATGTGTTTGCTGGCCATTGGTATATCTTCTTTTGAGAATTGTCTATTCATGCCCTTAGCCCACTTTTTGATGAGATTGTTTGTTTTTTTCTTACTGAATTATTTGAGTTCCTTGTAAATTCTGGATATAAGTCCTTTGTCAGATGTATAGATTGTGAAGATTTTCTCCCACTTTGTGGGTTGTCTGTTTACTTTTCTGACTGTTCCTTTTGCCGTGCAAAAGCTCTTTAGTTTAATTAGGTCCCAGCTATATATTTGTTTCTGTTGCATGTGCTTTTGTGTTCTTGGTCATGAAATCCTTGCCTAAGCCAATGTCTAGAAGGGTTTTTCCCATGCTATCTTCTAGAATTTTTATAATTTCAAGTCTTAGGTTTAAGTCCTTAATCAATCTTGAGTTGATTTTTTGTCTAAGGTAAGAGATGAGGATCGTTTCATTCTCCTGTATGTGGCTAGCTAATTAGCCCAGCACCATTTGTTGAAAAGGGTTTCTTTTCCCCACTTTATGTTTCGTTTCCTTCGTTGAAGATCAGTTGGCTGTAAATATTTGGGTTTATTTCCGGGTTCTCTATTCTGTTCCATTGGTCTATGTGCCTATTTTTATACCAGTACCATGCACATCCCATGCTCATGGATGGGTAGAATCAATATTTTGAAAATGACCATACTGCCAAAAGCAATCTACGAATTCAATGCAATTCCCATGAAAATACCACCATCATTCTTCACAGAACTAGAAAAAACAATTCTAAAATCTGTATGGAACCGAAAAAGAGCCCACATAGCCAAAGCAAGACTAAGCAAAGATAACAAATCTGGACACATCACACTACCTGATTTCAAACTATACCATAAGGCCATGGTCACCAAAACGAGTGTTTAATTGTACTTATTTTCATTTGCATGCCCTTTGCTGTACTGTTAAAGGTGAGAACATTCATTCAGTGGACAAATTTCTTCCCTTCTGATCATGGTGGATTTATAGTACTTATGGACTGAATGAACCTTATTGGGGTGAAATGCCCTTAAATTATGTTGTTAGTAGTGATATTCTACCCTTCACTTTTGTGCACTCTACTTTCATTGTCAGGGAGAAACCTGCTTTTCGGGGGTATAAATTTCCTTCTAGAATGATGAAATAAGGGTATCAGAGTTCAGCTAAGTTCTCTCTGCCTCTCAGCTGACTGAAGCTAGATTCTGTTACAGAGAGCATCAGTCCTGGCCTGAGGTACTCATGGTTTATTGCATATAGTAGGGCATGTGATCTGGTATGTGTTGTTTCATGTTCTGCAGCCTTTTGCTTCTCTTGATAGCAGACCCATTTTCATAAACAAGGGAACAGGAGTGGTTGAAGCTACGGTTGCTCTTTATCATTTATACATAGTAGGGATTCATGACCTACATCTCAATCCCATTTTAAAACTTTACTTGCAATTGTAAAATAACAATATTAAGCAGATAATGAAAATGTATCAAACTGGATGCTTTGAATAGGTTTTATTCGCATCTTTTGATTGCACAGTAAACTTTCATTTACTAGATTGGCAAATGTCTGATGCCTTAGGACTTAATAACTTGGTTTTCTCTTCCTTCCCTCAGGTTAACACTTTAAATTATTAGTTCATAAAATATAATGCATATGTTGGAAAAATCAATCCAACTTTCTCTATTCTGTTTTCTTCACTTACGTTATATACCCTTATTTCATTTCTAGCTACAAATCTTTTAAGGGTAAAATAAACCCAGAAATCCTGTCAGAATTGTAAGGTGCCAAGTATCCACAATTTTAACTAATTTTGGTACATTTTAAAGTGTTTTGTGTTGTTAGCTAAATTTGTTTTACCAGCAGATATCTTCTGCCTGGCATATGTATGTTGTAGATTATTCATAAATACCATTATTCATGTATTAAACCTTTATTTTCAGCTCTTGATTCTGCACAGAGTAGTCGGTCTACTAGTTACTCTCCAAGACCAACAGACAGCTGTTTCAGTTCTAGTTCAGATTTGGTAAGTGATGCTTGTTTCACTTATTAATACATGCTATATTAATAATTATTTGTTTTTCTCATAGTTTACCTTTACCCTATAAAACTGTTGAGTCAATTAAATAGTGGAAGTAAAAATTAATATAAACAAAAAGGTAAAAAATTTTAAAAAGTACATTTAAAAATGTAGAAAAGAAAAATGTAAATAAAAATGTCCATGAGTACCATTTTTCACATTTGTAAAAATGCATTTATTGCCATTTACAAAACACCTTTTATCCTTTTATCAAGATACCTTATATACATACATATATATACATATATATGTTATATATATACACACATACACACACACACACATTATGTGTGTACAGTTTGTCATTGAACAATGCAGGGGTTAGGGATGCTGCCCAGTCAGAAATCTGAATAAAAGGTTTGACTCCGCCAAACTTAACTACTAATAGCCTACTGTTGCCAGAATCCTTACTGATAACATAAACAGTTGATTAACACATATTTTGTATGTTGTATATATTATATACTATATTTATACAATAAAGTAAGCTAAAGAAAAGAAAACGTTACTAAGGAAATCTTAAGGAAGAAAAGATATATTTACTATTCATTAAGTAGGAATAGATCATCATAAATCATCATAATCCTCATCATCTTCATGTTGAGTAGGCTGAGGAGGAGAAGGGAGAGGCAGAGTTGGTCTTGCTGTTTCATTGGTAGCATAGGCAGAAGAGGTGGAGGAAGTAGAATGGTGGGCAGGAGAGGCAGGCACACTTGGTGTAACTTATGGAAATACATCGTTATTTCTGTCTGACTTTTGATTTTTCGTTTCTCTAAAAATGTTTTAATATGGTACCAATTCTTCTTCTACTGTTTACTTTAGCTTCAGAGCCTGTATCATAGAAAGGTCTATGTCGTAAAGAAATCAAAAGAGGTCTTGAGTAATCAACACTTCTGCCAGATTGTCTAAAGTCAGATTTTTCTGGCACTGCTTCTTTTATGTCTTCTTGCTTGTTGTCTGTAACTGGTTGTTAAGTACTCATCTCCATCAAGTTGTCTTCTGTTAATTCCCCTGGAGTGGTATATATTAGCTCTTTAATTTTTCTAACCTCCATATCTTGAAACCCTTCACCTTTCACCTTTTTTTTTTGCCATATCCACAGTCTCTTTCATGATTTTCTTGATTAGCTCTTGTAAATCCTATGAAGTCATGTTTAACATCTACAACAGTTTTCTTCTGCAGGGATTTCTTTTCCGAGTCTTGATGATGTTCATGGCTTTTTCTATAACAGTAATGGCATGTTCAATGGTATAATCCTTCCAGAATTTTATGATGTTCTCTCTCTTGGGTTCTCTCCCATCGCATTGACCATCCTTTCCATAGAGCACAATGTATAATGAACCTTAAAGGTCACTGTGACTCCCTAATCTAGAGGCTGAATTAGAGATGTTGTGCTTCAAAACATGTAAACTATTTTGATGCCTTCGGTGTTGAACTGATGGGATTCTGGGTGGCCAGGGGCATTAGCAATATCAAAATAACTTTAAAAGGCAGTCCCTTACTGGCAAAGCACTTACTGACTCTAGGGGCAAAGCACTGATGGAATCAACTCAGAAAAAGAATTTTTGTTTTCCAGGCTTTCTTATTGTATTACCAAGAAACTGGCAATTGGTGTTTATCCTTCCCTTCAAAACTTGAGGGTGAGCAGCTTTATAAATAAGGGCAATCTTGGTCATAAACCTGACTGCATTTGCACAAAACAGTAAAGTTAGCCTATCCCATCCTGCCTTAAATCCTGGTGCTTGCTTCCCTTCCTAATAAATATCCTATGTGACATTTTTTTTTTCCTGGAATAGGGCACTTTTGTCTCCATTAAAAACTTGTTTAGGCAGATATCCTTTTTCTTCAGTGATTTTCTTTAAAGGCATCTGGGAATGTGTCTGCTGCTTCTTGGTCTGCAGAAGCTGCTTCCCCTATTACCTTGATATTTTTTAAGCCAAAGCTGTTTCTAAAATTATCAAACCATGCTTTGCTGGCATT
Organism: Homo sapiens; assembly: GCF_000001405.40. NCBI lineage: Eukaryota > Metazoa > Chordata > Mammalia > Primates > Hominidae > Homo > Homo sapiens. The sequence continues at coordinate 39,718,873 of NC_000012.12, forward strand.
AAATTCTCCAGCATTAGATCCTTCAGCTTCCTTTTGCTTTAAGTTGTCATATAATGGCTTCACTTTTTCTCAAATCACATTAGCATCTAACGGTATGCCTTTGTCATAGCAATCCTGCACCCACATAAAAGCTACATTTTTAATACAACATAAAAAGGTATTTCACAAAAGTACATTTTCCTTCACAAGTTTCCTTTTCTTTCTTTTTTAAAAGAACTGTACGTAGATTTAGCTTTTGCTTGTGTATATGTAAACTCATGCAAATGAGGCCTTAGAAAGGAAGAGATGACTGTCCTTTAATAGCATGTTCTCAGCACTATATTACAGTGTTCTTTGTTAACTAGTTCCATTCCCTGAAAGAAAAGAGCAAATAATGCATTTCTAAAGGATCCTGCTTATAATTACATTTTAAATGTGTATGCATAAACACATTATAATAAGTATTTATGAACAAAGATAAGAAATAGCACTTAGCCAGGCATGTTGGTTCATGCTTGTAATCCCAGCATTTTGGGAGACTGAGGTGGGCAATTGCTTGAGCCCAGGAGTTCGTGACCAGCCTGGACAACATGGCAAAAACAAATACAAAAAATTAGTCAGACATGGTGGCGTGTGCCTATGGTCCCAGTTACTGGAGAGGCTGAGGTGGGAGAATCACCTGAGCCTGGGAGGTTGAGGTCACAGTGAGCCATGATTGTGCCACTGCACTCCAACCCAGGCAATGGAGTGAGACCCTGTCTCAAAAAAATAAAAAAAAATCACCAATAACATGTTATCAACACTAGATTACAAGTTTGTCTATTTGTTAAACAGTTCAATTCTCTGAAAGAGTATAACTCAAATTGCATCACTAAAGAAGCATGTTTAGATTTACCTTTTATTTTTTATTGATGTATAATATTTGTACGTATTTAATTGGGTATATATGATGTTTTGTTACATGACTCAAATGTGTAATGATCAAGCCAGAATATTTAGGATATCCATCCCCTTGAGTATTTATTTCTCTGTGTTCGGACCATTTTAAGACGTATCTACTAGCTATTTTGAAATATACATTTTTCAGTGTCAATCAGCTAAAGCCTATACCCCTTTTTATATTTAGTTTTTTATATTAACTTTGTATTTTTAACTTGAATAATCAATACTTTATATAAGATTTTCATTAAAAGAATATTTTCATTAATTCAGTAATTAAAAGAAATTTTTCAAGAAGTTTGAAAAATTTATGCTTAGAAAATTGAAATCTAGACCTATTAAAAAGTTCTTAAAAAAAGTTCTTAAAGGTTGTCTTTTTATATAACAGTTGAGATATGTATTGCTTATGTATTGCTACTTAACTTTTCTTTGTCTATTTAATTTCCTATTACCTGATGCTCTTCTTAAGTTATGTTATCTTCTTAAGATTATATATATATATATTTCATTGGACTGGGCCCATAAAAAGCATACAAGTAGTTATTTTTTACTTAATGAATCAATAAATAATTGAACAGGTTATATGTTAGCTGTTTCCTTCGAAGGTACTTCTTCTAGTCTACTCTTTTTAAGTGGAGGAAGTATGCTGCATATCATTTCTTCTGTTGAAAGGGTAGAGAGATGATAGAGCCTGTGATTATAGGGACTAATAAAAGACAAAATTTCTCGTCTCCTTTTTACCTCTTTTGCATTTTTATTACAAAGATTATTATTGTTACTGCTATTTTAGAATTCATAGCCTCCTGGGAGGTATAGCAGATTATTGGTTGAAGACTCTTTGATGATATACCTGCTTTGATTTGTAACTTGCCAAACTCTCTTCTGTATTTAGAAATTTTCTATAGTTGGGATTTTAAGAATATATTCTTTGAAGTGATTGAATGCATTTTTAAAATGTAAGCATGGTTTAGAGCAAAATTATTAATTTCTTTTTAGCCATCTGAAGATGAAGATCAAATATCACAGCAAATTGAAGATTCAAATAGGATGACCATCAAAACCAAGGAAAAAATGAATAATTTTTATGTAGAAAGGATGGCAAAACTTTCAGGTGACAGGATTGTTAAAAACGATGACAAAATTCACAAACAGAATGAGAATTTCTACCAGTTCTCAGTGAAAAATAATACAGATCAGTTTCCACAGTTGCAGTGCAATTCAGCCCACATTTTGCAAAACAAAACCAATGATAACTGCGTTCTGCAGGCTGCAAGGTGTGATGCAGGGATACAAACAGAGAGTGAATCTGTAATGGAGGAAAAATTAGATGTTGCCATACAGTGTGATCTAATTTCAAAATGTACATGTAGAAGTGATGTTTCTCTTTGCAACCTTGAAAGGTGCAGTGGAAATATTAAGGCAGATACCACTGGAGGGCAGGAAATCCATAAGAACAACTAATATTCTAAAATCTCTACCTAGGATGTAGAATTTCACTTGCCCTTAGAAAACAACAGTAAATGTTGAAAATTTCATTAACATGATAAGAAATGAGAAAAAGTAGCTAAGCATAAGCTGACAGTGTTCAGGGTGTATATTCACGGTTCATGTTAAAACATTTTAATATTATTAATGTATGTATTTAATTTGTATATAGCCATTTCCTTAATAGCTTTGGTATATGGTAGAGTTTTTAGAAAATAATATATTTGTAAATGTACTAGCGTTTTTATGTGATTATTCAGTATATTACAATGATGCGCTGTTATTTATGGGTTAAAATATGCTTAATTGCTTCCTTCCTTGTAGCATTTATTTTAATATTCTTTGCAGTTGCATTTTCTGGCAAAAATGTTCCCTTTCAAGATATTTAAGATAGAAAATAATACCTAATATATTTTATGTCCTCATTATAATAATTTTGTTAGCTACTTCTCTTTAATATTACAGTCCTATTTAAAAATTCTAGCATTAATTTGTAGATAACACATATCTTCTATTTGCATAACATAGTTTTTTTGTTGGTGCTATTAATTCAAAGGAAAATGTTCTGTAGGATTAAAAGATGTTTTAATGTTTTTATAAAATAATTGTTTGAAATTAAAAAATGATTTATGTTACTAATTTTAGTGTTGCTAAGATTCTTTTCATAAATATTATAACAAGATTTCCTATTCTAAAATATAGGCTTTGTTTCTAAGACAACACTTATTTTGTATAAGGATTTTAAATGTTTGTACTCTAAAATTGACACTTGTTTTGATATATTTCATGGTACACAGCAGAGGGCATTCTAGTATCTAACTGAACCCAAAATAAAATTGTTAGAGGTTTCTTTGCCTTTAAAGAAAACAATGTTTTCATGTTACATTTTTATACACAGATGTATCACTCAAGAGTCTGTGTTGCAGAGGTGATTTGGGGCATTGCAATTTGGAGACACCAACAGCTAAAGTTTAAATAGTAGCAATCTTCAGGTTTTTAGCTAGTTTTAGGAAGTGATTTTTGCTATCTTACAGAGCACAATAAGCTCCTAAGTATTTTCTTCCAGTTTAATGATCAACTCATGGAAGGGGAATATAATTATCTGATATATGTATGTTGATAGTTTTTCAAAAGGCCAGATTTTATCCAGATACTAAATGAAAGGTATTCCACTGTGGATTGGTTATCCTGAGCATTATTTTGCAAAAATATTGCATACTATAGCAGTGAACACTGATACATAGAAAAAGAAGACTATAATGATGACAGTAGAATAAACTTGAGCTGTGAATTTTGGGTTGGTTTCAAATATCAAGTAAACTGATATTTTTCCAAATATGCATCAAAGTCTAGCAATATTGAAAGTACATTAATTATGAAAGTACACACCTAGTTCTGTTTTTATCAATATCATAATGTAGCAGTTAAGCTCTGTAAGATGAGGAATTTCAGGGCTTTAAAAAAATGCAGTGACCACTTACAGTGACAGCAGAGTAAAGTGTAGTGCAGTAAAGAATTTAATCTTGCCCCAAAAGCGGTATTGCCTTTACTCTTGGCTTCTGGGAGGTAACCTCCAAGCCCTTGGAATGTCATGGCTAGTGAGTGTCTTTATTTGCCTAGGAAGCTTGGCCCAATTTAGATAGTAACAATATGATTTAGGATGGAGACGTTGAGTAAAGCAATAACAGCTTGCCTTCCTAAGGGATCAGAAACTGAGATTGGGTAGTCAGCCACACCGCTGTGATTGAGACCCAGTAAAGACTTTGAATACCAAGGCTCAGGTGAGCTTCCCTGGTTGGCAATACTTCATGTGAATTGTCAGTCATTGCCAGAAAAGTAATGCTGTCCATCACTCCATGAGAGAGGATGACTGAAAGCTCCCTGTTTATTACTTTCCTAGACTCTGTCCGATGTGTTTCTTCTCTTGGTTGATTTTAACTGGTATCCTTTTACTATAATAAACTATAACTGTGAATATAATATCTTTCAGTGTGTTCCGTGAGTCCTTCTAACGAATTACCAAATCTGAGGGTGGTCTTGGAACTCACAGACTTGCTGTTGGTGTCAGAAGTAAAGGCAGTTTTATGGTCTATTCCCTAACTTCACAGTTGCTAATTCCTTAGACGCTTTAAGGAGATAAATATATTCAGAGTGGAAAGTGAGTATGGATTTGCAAAATAAGCCATCTTATGTAATTATAACATACTTCTCAAAATGCATTACTGGTTTGGGCTTTCTCGGTGAAACTGATGAAAATATAAATAAAAAGCAATTGAAATAAACATTGTTTTCATTCCATGTTTGTAATTTAATGTTTATAAAGCAGAGTAAATCCTAGCTAGGTTCTACCCAGATGAAACAAAATGAAAATTTAATGATTCTGCACACATTTCTAATGTAAACTGCCAATCAGAGTGACTTCAGATAAGATACTATACATTCAGTAAGGGCCAATGCTATACAGTATTGGGCTGGAGTTGGTGTTTAACCCTATTTGTGAAACAGTACATTTTTTTGGTTCACAACAACTCTAGGAAGTTTCCATCTGTAATAAGATGAGAGGCTATCTTTACGGGTAGTTTCATGTAATTTACTTTTAAAGCACTTATAACAATTGCAATTTGTTTATAATTTCTTGGTTAATTGTTTATTTTCCTCCGTGACAATATAGCAATGTAGCAAATGCTATCTGTGCCCAGCTCACATTTCTTGGGCATCCCTCATTTTCATACATACCAGCCTGACTTGCAGCTGCCAGTGCATGACTCATTTCCCGAGGGGTGTCTTTTGGCTGCAGATACCTCTTCTGCCTAGGAGGAGGCAGAGGAAGTACCAGAGTGTTAATGCTGTTTGAGCGCAGTCGTTTTAAACAATATCTGATGGGAATTGGTGGTTAAATACTCCTCCCTTGCCTCTTGGGCGGGATAAGTCTTTGAAAGTGTGTTCTACAACTCTGCTTACTCAAAGTATCCACTGACCAGTAACAGTAGCATCGATATTGGTTGGGAACTGGTTAGTAATTAAAATTTGTGGAACCCACCCCCAAATTACTGAATCAAAATCTCAGGCAGTAGGTCCTGGGAATCTGTAGAGTGATGTCTGTGCCCTCTCATGTTGGAAAACACTATTCCTGCTGAGTTCCTCAGAAGGATTAACCTTAAGTTGCTCACAATGGTAACTTGCTTAATAACCAACACTTCCCTTCTTCTCCCATCTGTCTCACTCCCCACCTCTATGCGTTTCTTGAAATCATACCCCAAACAAACTATATGTACTTGAATCCTTGTCTCATTGTTTGTTTCTGGGGCAAGTCAAATTAAGACAGGCAGAGATTATGACAAGTAGATGGATGAATTGGCTTTATAGGTATAACTAAAAGGTTAACATTGCTAATTTTTGTAGTTTTACCATTCTCTAGTCTCAGATTTCCATTTCTGCCATCTGCTGAAAATTTAATATGTGGGCAAAGTGGCATGTTAGATACAGGTGAAGAGAGAATTTGTGAAGTGAAATATATATAAGCATAAATTATCCAGAATGCCAGAAGAGAAAAAGAAATAGAAAATATGAAAGAGCATTAATTAAACAATAAGAAGGACAGTGTGAGAAGCTTTATATGTTTAATTGAAGTATCAACAGTATAGGAGAGAGAGAGAGAATAGAGGCATAATTTGAAGAGATAATAGCTGAGAATTTTTCTAGAATGGATCTATTATATAATCCACAGATTCATGAAGACCAGCAATTTCCAAGTGGGATTAAAAAAAATGAAATCTATATTCTAGTCCCAACATAATAAAATGACAGAGCCTCAAAGTCAAATGAAAAACATGAAAGCCACTGAAGAGAAAAAGACTACATTCTTAGAAAAGACAGCTACAGTGTCATATGACTTACTAACAGCAATGATGGAAGCTAAAAGACAGTGTAATAATACCTTCCAAATGCTGACAAAATAATTGTCATTCCAAAATTGTGTTTCCAGCCCTACAGCTGTAACAGTGTTTGAAATCACAAACTAGCCACTACTAGCATGAAGGATCTGCTCTGTAGGATTTGGTGACATATTTAGGGTCTTTATATTGTATATAGATAAGTGCTTTCTCTTTGACTGTAGGAAAGGTTTTTCTTGATTGTATCCCTGTTTGCTTTTCAACCCATATGCTCAACTATTTTCCTATTTCTCATATGTCTTTAGGCCTTCTTATAGACTTCATAGCACTTGAAATGGCTTTAGCAACAGGAATTTGTTTTATTTCGCAGTACTGTCTCTGTTGGTCTACAATATGTATTCCTTTATGCCTGTTGCTCAAGAGGTACCACGTGTTCTCTCATTTCCTTCAAAAGGCTATTTCAAGCTCCTCTTTAATACTTAATGCTTTCTGTGTCATGCACATTTTAAAATCAGGACACATAGATATTTTAGGATGTTGACTGATTGTATTTATTCATGTATATTTTATATATGTATAATATATATAATAACCTATGTATAATTATATAATTGATATCTATAAATGTCCACAATGTGAAAGAACAGCAAAACACAACCGTATGAGATAATACACACAGCGAATTGAGGTAGCTGGTAGGTGTCTGAGGGGTGTGTGTGTGTTCATTTTGTGTATTATGTGGTTCAGTTCTGATGGGTACAGGTTTGTGTGTTCACCTGGTGTTTCTTGTGGACACAACTGCACATCAGCCAGTGTGATACTTGCATTATGCTCAAATTGTTTCCTAATATGTCAGTCACGTGGAACAAATTTGCCTTTTCAAAACAACTTGTACCAGCAAAACTATTTTTCCCAGTCTCTATTTTCTTTTAATTTTCTTCTTTTTTTGCTGCTGCCTCCTCCTCCTCCTCCTCCTCTTCCTCCTCTTCTTCTTCTTCTTCTTTTTAATTATACTTCAAGTTCCGGACACAGGTGCAGAATATGCAGGTTTGTTACATAGGTATACATGTGCCATGGTGGTTTGCTGCACCCATCAACCAGTCATCTACATTAGGTATTTCTCCTAATGCTATTCCCTCCCCTAGCCCCCCACACCCCAACAGGCTCCAGTGTGTGATGTTCCCCTCCCTGTGTGCATGTGTTCTCACAACTCAACTCCCACTTACGAGTGAGAACATGCAGTGTTTGGTTTTCTGTTCCTGTGTTAGTTTGCTGAGAATGATGGTTTGAAGCTTCATCCATGTCCCTGCAAAGGACATGGACTCATCCTCTTTTTATGGCTGCATAGTATTCCATGGTGTATATGTGCCACATTTTCTTTATCCAGTCTATCATTGATGGGCATTTGGGTTGGTTCCAAGTCTTTGCTATTGTGAATACTGCTGCAATAAACACACATGTGCATGTGTCTTTATAGTAGAATGATTTATAATCCTTTGGGTATATACCCAGTAGTGGGATTGCTGGGTCAAATGATATTTCTGGTTGTAGATCCTTGAGGAATCGCCACACTGTCTTCCACAATGGTTGAACTAATTTACACTCCCACCAACAGTGTAAAAGCATTCCTATTTCTCCATATCCTCTCCAGCATCTGTTCTTTCCTGACGTTTTAATAATTGCCATTCTAACTGGCGCGAGATGGTATCTCATTCTGGTTTTGATTTGCATTTCTCTAATGACCAGCGATGATGAGCTTTTTTTCCTGTGTTTGTTGGCTGCATAAATGTCTTCTTTTGAGAAGTGTCTGTTCATATCCTTTGCCCACTTTTTGATGGGGTTGTTTGTTTTTCTTCTTGTAAATTTGTGTAAGTTCCTTGCAGATTCTGGATATTAGCCCTTTGTCAGATGGATAGATTGCAAAAATTTTCTCCCATTCTGTAGGTTGCCTGTTCACTCTTGCTGTGCAGAAGCTCTTTAGTTTAATTAGATCCCATTTGTCAATTTTGGCTTTTGTTGTCACTGCTTTTGGTGTTTTAGTCATGAGGTCTTTGCCCATGCCTATGTCCTGAATGGTATTGCCTAGGTTTTCTTCTAGGGTTTTTATGGTTTTAAGTCTTATGTTTAAGTCCTTAATCCATCTTGAGTTAAATTTTATATAAGGTGTAAGGAAGGGGTCCAGTTTCAGTTTTCTGCATATGGCTAGCCAGTTTTCACAACAGCATTTATTCAATAGGGAGTCCTTTCCCCATTGCTTGTTTTTGTCAGGTTTGTCAAAGATCAAATGGTTGTAGATGTGTGGCATTATTTCTGAGGCCTCCATTCTGTTCCATTGGTCTATATATCTGTTTTGCTACCAGTACCATGTTGTTTTGGTTACTGTAGCCTTGTAGTATAGTTTTGTCCTTTTTGCTTAGGGTTGTCTTGGCTATACGGGCTCTTTTTTGGTTCCATATGAAATTTAGCTTTTTCTAATTCTGTGAAGAAAGTCTAATTCTGTGAAGAAAGTCTAATTCTGTGAAGAAAGTCTAATTGTGTTATGGGGATATCATTGAATCTATAAATTACTTTGGGCAGTATGGCCATTTTCACAATATTGATTCTTCCTATCCACGAGCATGGAATGTTCTTCCATTTGTTTGTGTCCTCTCTTATTTCCTAGAGCAGTGGTTTGTAGTTCTCCTTGAAGAGATCCTTCACATCCCATGTAATTTGTATTCCTAGGTATTTTATTATCTTTGTAGCAATTGTGAATGAGAGTTCACTCATGATTTGACTCTCTGTTTGTCTATTATTGGTGTACAGGAATGCTTGTAATTTTTGCACATTGATTTTGTATCCTGAGACTTTCCTGAAGTTGCTTATCAGCTTAAGGAGATTTTGGGCTGAGACAATGGGGTTTTCTAAATATACAATCATGTCATCAGCAAACAGAGACAATTTGACTTTCTCTCTTCCTATTTATTTCTTTCTCTTGCCTGATTACCCTAGCCAGAACTTCCAATTCTATGTTGAATAGGAGTGGTGAGAGAGGGCATCGTTGTCTTGTGCTGGTTTTTAAAGGGAATGCTTCCAGCTTTTGCCCATTCAGTATGATATTGGCTGTGGGTTTGTCATAAATAGCTCTTATTATTTTGAGATTCATTCCATCAATATCTAGTTTATTGAGAGTTTTTAGCATGAAGGGGTGTTGAATTTTATTGAAGGCCTTTTTTTGCATATATTGAGATAATCATGTGGTTTTTGACATTGATCATGTTTATGTGTGATGGATTATGTTTAATGATTTGCCTATGTTAAACCAGCCTTGCATCTCAGGGATGAAGCCAACTTGATCATGATGGATAAGCTTTTTGATGTGCTGCTGGATTTGGTTTGCCGGTATTTAATGGATAATTTTTGCATTGATGTTCATCAGGCATATTGGCCTGAAATTTTGTTTTTTTATTGTGTCTCTGCCAGGTTTTGGTATCAGGATGATGCTGGCCTCATAAAATGAGTTAGTGAAGAGTCCCTCTTTTTCTATTGTTTGGAGTAGTTTCAGAAGGAATGGTACCAGCTCCTCTGTGTACCTCTGGTAGAATTCGGCTCTGAATCCATCTGGTCCTGGGCTTTTTTTTTTTTTTTTTTTTGGTTGGTAGGCTATTAATTACTGCCTCAATTTCAGAACTTGTTATTGGTGTATTCAAGGATTCAACTTCTTCCTGATTTGGTCTTGGGAGGGTGTATGTGTCCAGGAATTCATCCATTTCTTCTAGATTTTCTAGTTATATCTGCATAGAGGTGTTTATAGTATTCTCTGGTGGTAGTTTGTATTTCTGTGGGATCAGTGGTGATCTCCCCTTTATCATTTTTTGTTGTGTCTATTTGATTCTTCTCTCTTCTTCTTTGTTAGTCTGGCTAGTGGTCTATCTATTTTGTTAATCTTTTCAAAAAACCAGCTCCCAGATTCCTTGAGTTTTTGAAGGGTTTTTCATGTCTCTATCTCCTTTAGTTCTGCTCTGATCTTAGTTATTTCTTGTCTTCTGCTAGCTTTTGAATTTGTTAGCTCTTGCTTCTCTAGTTCTTTTAATTGGGATGTTAAGGTGTCAATTTTAGATCTTTCCCGTCTTCTCCTGTGGGCATTTAGTACTATAAATTTCCCTGTAACCACTGCTTTAGCTGTGTCCCAGAGATTCTGATATATTGTGTCTTTGTTCTCATTGGTTTCAATGTACTTATTTATTTCTATCTTCATTTTGTTATTTACCCAGTAGGCATTCAGGAGCAGGTTGTTCAGTTTCCATGTAGTTGTGTGGTTTTAAGTGAGTTTCTTAACCTTGAATTCTAATTTGATTGCACTGTGGTCTGAGTGACTGTTTGTTATGATTTCCATTCTTTTGCATTTGCTGAGGAGTGTTTTACTTCCAATTATATGGTCAATTTTAGAATAAGTGTGATGTGGTGCTGAGAAGAATGTATATTCTGTTGATTTGGGGTGGAGAGTTCTGTAGATGTCTATTAGGTCCACTTGTTCCAGAGCTGAGTTCAAGTCTTTAATATCCTTGTTAATTTTCTGTCTTGTTGATCTGTCTAATATTGACAGTGGGGTGCTAAAGTCTCCCACTATTATTATGTGGGAGTATAAGTCTCTTTGTAGATCTCTAAGAACTTGCTTTATGAATCTGGGTGCTCTTGTATTGGGTGCATATATATTTAGGATAGTTAGCTCTTCTTGTTGCATTGATCCCTTTACCATTATGTAATGTCCTTCTTTCTCTTTTTTGATCTTTGTTTGTTTAAAGTCTGTTTTATCAGAGACTAGGATTGCAGCCCCTGCTTTTTTTGCTTTCTATTTGCTTGGTAAATATTCCTCCATCCTTTTATTTTGAGCCTATGTGTGTCTTTGCAGGTGGGATCAGTCTCCTGAATACAGCACACCTATGGGTCTTGAATTTTTATCCAATTTGCCAGTCTGTGTCTTTTAATTGGGGCATTTAGCCCATTTACATTTAAGGTTAATATTGTTATGTGTGAATTTGATCCTGTCATTATGATGTCAGCTGGTTATTTTGCCCGTTAGTTGGCGCAGTTTCTTCAGCATAAATGGTCTTTACAATTTAGTACATTTTTGCAGTGGCTGCTACCGGTTTCTCCTTTCCATATTTAGTGCTTTCTTCAGGACCTCTTGTAAGGCAGGCCTGGTGGTGACAAAAATTTTTCAGCATTTGCTTGTCTCTAAAGGATTTTATTTCTCCTTCTCTTGTGAAGCTTAGTTTGGCTGGATATGAAATTCTGGGTTGAAAATTCTTTTCTTTAAAATGTTGAATATTGGCCCCCAACTTTCTTCTGGCTTGTAGGGTTTCTGCAGAGAGATCTGCTGTTAGTCTGATGGGCTTCCCTTTGTGAGTAACCTGACCTTTCTCTCTGGCTACCCTTAACATTTTTTCCTTTATTTCAACTTTGGTGAATCTGACGACTACGTGTCTTGGGGTTGCTCTTCTTGAGGAGTATCTTTGTGGTATTCTCTGTATTTCCTGGTGTTGGCCTGTCTTGCTAGGTTGGGGGAGTTCTCCTGGATAATATCCTGAAAAGTGTTTTCCAACTTGGTTCCATTCTCCCCGTCACCTTCAGGTACACTAATCAAATGTAGGTTTGGTCTTTTCACATAGTCCCATATTTCTTGGAGGCTTTGTTCATTTCTCTTCATTCTTTTTTCTCTAATCTTGTCTTCATGCTTTATTTCATTAAGTTGATCTTGAATCTCTGATAGACTTTTTTTCTGCTTGATTGATTTGGCTATTGATACTTGTGTATGCTTCACGAAGTTCTTGTGCTGTGTTTTTCAGCTCCATCAGGTCATTTATGTTTTTCTGTAAACTGGTTATTCTAGTTAGCAATTCCTCTAACCTTTTTTCAAGGTTCTTAGCTTCCTTGCATTGGGTTAGAACACGCGTCTTTAGCTCGGAGGAGTTTGTTATTACCCACCTTCTGAAGCCTACTTCTGTCAATTCATCAAACTCATTCTCTGTCCAGTTTTGTTCCCTTGCTGGGGAGGAGTTGTGATTCTTTGGGGGAGAAGAGGTGTTCTGGTTTTGGAATTTTCAGCCTTTTTGTGCTGGTTTTTCCTCATCTTTGTGGATTTATCTACCTTTGGTCTTTGATGTTGGTGACCTTCGGATGGGGTTTCTGTGTGGACATCCTTTTTGTTGATGTTAATGCTATTCCTTTCTGTTTGTTAGTTCCTTCTAACAGGCCCCTCTGCTGCAGGTCTGCTGGAGTTTGCTGGAGGTCCACTCCAGGCCCTGTTTGCCTAAGTATTACCAGTGGAGGCTCCAGAACAGCAAAGATTTCTGCCTGTTCCTTCCTCTGGAAGCTTTGTCCCAGAGGGGCACCCGCCAGATGCCAGCTGGAGCTCTCCTGTATGTGGTGTCTGTCAACCCCTGCTGGGAGGTGTCTCCCAGTCAGGAGGCATAGGGGTCAGGGACCCACTTGAGGAGGCAGTCTGTCCCTTAGCAGAGCTCAAACGCTGTGCTGGGGGATTTGTTGCTGTCTTCAGAGCCATCAGGCAGGAACATTTAACTCCGCTGAAGTTGTGCCTATAGCCGCCCCTTCCCCCAGGTGCTGTGTCTCAGGGAGATGGGAGTTTTATCTGTATGCCCCTGACTGTTTCTGCTGCCTTTCTTTTTTTTTTTTTGTTCAATTTCAGTTGTTTTATTATAAAACACAAATGTAGAAAATGTAACACAAAAGAAATGATAGCTTAGAGGATTGTCATAAGGCAAACATCATTCTAACCTCCACCCAAGTGAAAAAACAGAATTCTGCCAGCTACCTGAGAAGCCCTTTCATGGGTCCTGTTCCAATGATGTCCTCCTCCATCCCTCCAAAAGTAACCATGATCTTGACTTTTATGGTAACCACTTCCTTGCATATCTTTACAGTTTTACCACTCCAATTGTGCATCCCTAGACACTCAAGTTTAATTTTGCTCCTTAAAGAAATCTGATATGTCTTTTAGATCTCTTTTAAACTGCAGATTCCCCTCCATCTCTTTCTTCTTCTGACAGTTTTTTTGAAAAACCTGTTCCATTTGACATATGGAGATTTTCATAGTCATGGTTTTGCAGATTGCATTCTTGTGGTGAAATTCAATGTTTCTCCATCCTGTATATTTCCTACAAATTGGCAGCTGTATCCAGAGGTTTGATCAAACCTATATTTGATCCCTTTAACTGGATTGTTAGTGGTGTGTGTTTTTTCATTAGGAGGCTCGTAATGTCTGTTTTTCACTTTTTTCTCTTATATTAGCAGCCATTGGTGTTCAATGTCTAGATCCAGTAATTCGCTGGAGGGTTGTAAGATGGTGATATACTTTTATGTCATTTTCACTTATTTACTGGAATAATTTTGTACAAAAATACCCCCTCCTCCATCTACTATTAAGATACCTAGCAGTATAGTTTATATAAGAAAGGCAAGACAAATTCTTTAGTCTTTTATGTACTCAGTTTTCAAAATAACCAGTAGGCTCTCTGTCATCCTCTGAAGATGAGTATTATTTTTTCTTAATATAATTAATTATGAACCATATTTGATTGGTTTCAGTCCATTGTAATGTTTATCCTTATTGAAACTCAAAATGCCCATATTTGGCCAAAGATGGTTCCTCAGTCCTTTGACATGAACCTCATAGGCTTTGATAGCT